>NC_000013.11:79630831-79783671 GCF_000001405.40 Homo sapiens | reverse complement strand
AAAATTATAATCAATAATATATATGAAATAACCCACTTAATTTTACAAGCTATTGCACAATTGAAAGAATGCTTTCATTCTTAAATATTTTACACAAAACCACCAGTTTGATTCCTAAACCAAAGGCTTTTAAAGTAATCTTATATATTCATATGACAGTCTCACAAGTTTACTTGTTCTTGAAAAATAATGTAGCAGCATGAAAAATATGTAAGCGTTCATGCATATACATTTTTTTAATTGTGCATATGACTTCCACTAGAGTAAATGTGTATATAAAGCTTGAGGCCTCTGGTGAATATTCTTAAGTACACAAACAAGAATTTAGGTTGTTAGGAGAATAAGAAACCTAAGGATCCAAGAACATCATAAGTCAAAAAAATTATTCTGCGTTGTCAAAAAGCTCTGACTCTGATACATGCTGATAGCAACCTTTCTATCCTGTGAATACAGTAAATAGATGTGTGGATTCAGACCCACAGGCATGCATCGATACCCCAGACCAACGTGGATATAGGCAGCCCTTTATGTCTGCTCTGACTTTGGCTTTTGCAGCTGCTGTTTTCTCAGTGTTGTCTCCGGGGCAGTTTCCTGTTGCCATAGCTGATGGCCTGCCCACGCCTGCCTGGGCTTTTCAAGTGTCAACACTCCCAGGCCGGCTGCAGTGGTCAAATGCTTGTTAATGAGATATAGCAGCTGGGTAGGGGTGAACCACTGAGACGGATAAAGGAATGCCGCTGGTGCAGGAAGCGATGCCTTTTGAATCTTTTCAGCAGGGTGAAAGCTTTCAAATCAAAGAGGGTATGTTGTATTCATTAATAAACCCAAGTTCCCATGCAGTCACATTAAAGCCAGCAGTTTAACTTTGCATCAGACAGGTGAATTTCCCCCAGATTTTACCCAGAAAGACAATGAACAAGAAAACAAGGCTTTAGCTTGGGACAAAGCAGCACTTCCTCATCTGTAGGGCTGACCGGACTGCTAAACCAAGCAAGGGTTGTCGCATTCTTTTTCGATTTATCCTTTTGTCCATGTATTTGTGTGTGTGTGTGCATGCACGCTCGTGTGCATGTTTCAAAGCTCATAGCAACCACTCCTGCTTCCTTCTCTTGGGTCTTTTAGCCCGAGCATTTTTCCCCCTTTCTTTTAAAACCTATCAAGAACAGAATTAACAACTTAACAACTACTGGTGAGGAAAAAATACATAGGTGTGGATGTGAGCACATATGGCCCCTGTCTCAAATGGAATAAAGCCGCACACTCCCATTCCCTACCCCCGTCCCAACCTGTAGCTAAGTTGATTTCTCCAGGGGGCTGTAGAGGTTGGCAGCATCATGAGACAGCTCCAACCGCTGGGAGAAGCCAGAAGAAAGAAAGAAAGAAAAAGACATTGAAAACATCTAACTGGCAGGGAGCCCTGAAGATAGTGTTGAGGACAGCATTATCATTTTTAAGTGCATTTGCTAGACAGTTGGACTCAGACCCATAGGGAATGAAAATAGGCCAATATATAGCATCAGAGATGGATTATCTATTTTAGGGTTTTTTCAGAGAATTTAGAAAGAATGGCATAATTTTAGGAGCAGAGACATGTACCTTGGACCAACTGAGATCTAGAGATATGCTTGCGTCTCACTGTCTCCAAGTATTCAACAATCTTATGAGTTAGCTAATGATTCACCAGTCCTATCTAATCACTACAAATCAAAGGCAGAATCTACATAGTATACTGATGACATTTTTAAGTGCAAAGAAGACTAGTGATCTAAGGAAATTTAGAGTGGGAGACACGCATTCTTTAAAGCACTTCAGTTTTTAAAATATTCATACACTGATTTCTTTTAGGCACCAATTCTTGTAAGAAGGCCTTTAACTTATATGGAAAGAAAAATGGAGATGTCATTTATTGGATACTTATAGTGTGTCAGGCACTGAGCATGACACTTCAATTTAAAAGGAATGTATATAAAAACATGTATATATAAACAGCAATGTAATGTACAATAAGTCTATGAAGCCTTTTTTACCAACTAGGACCCT
This sequence comes from Homo sapiens, assembly GCF_000001405.40. Classification (NCBI taxonomy): domain Eukaryota; kingdom Metazoa; phylum Chordata; class Mammalia; order Primates; family Hominidae; genus Homo; species Homo sapiens. Next base: position 79,781,631 of record NC_000013.11, on the reverse strand, counting down.
CAGTTGTGGAGAGTTTATATCAACTACCCAAGGCCATAAATGATGGCTACATTTTAAAAGGAAGAGCATTTCTTTTTTTTACTCTGCCTGCACTTTATATTTTGCCATATTGCCTCTCAGGCTGGGCCATATCACCCTGACCTGTTAGTAAAGTCTGATAAAAAATGAACAAATTATTACTAATTCAGAATGTTCAGTGCTGTATATAAGTCTGTGTATGTGTATGTATATATATATACACACAGTAATAATGCATCCTGGAGAGTGTGTGTGTATATATATACATGCACAGTAATAATGCATCCATATATACATTACATATAATATATATTATATATAATATATGTATATATGTATATATATAATGTGTGTATATATGTATATCTATATAATATGTATATATATATAATATAATATATATATATGGGGCTGGGGTTAAGAAAGATATATATTATTACTAAATAATCCAGAAATACTCAAGAAAAGTGCCATAGTTGATTTCCATGAAGTCTGAATTTCCATTAGATTTAATGGAGGTGACTCTGGGGTATGTTATATTTATATCCCATAATTTAAGTAGCACCCCAGGGATATGTATCTTTATAGCACCCCAGGATGAGATTACAATGGATGAGAAATAAAAAAGGGAGAGTAAGGTCTGGAAAAGGTCCTTGGTTGGAATCTATAGACAGTGTCTTCTCTCCCCTTGCTCTGTACCTAGCCACTTCACTTCTCTATGCAAGTTTGGGAAGAGCCTGTCACATCACAGTAGAGATCTAAAGGGGTTCTGTCCAGAAAAACTATGCTAAAATATGACAACTCATATCTACTTAAAGGGCATTGGCAAATGGTTGGTCTTTGAAAACTTCATCTCTTTACGCCTTCACCCCAAGTTCTGAACATCTCCAAGTCGCTTCTGAGTCTTGTTTTTCCAGCAGGGAGGAGGTGACAGCAGCAGTCTGACTCATCTGGAACCACTGTCTCTTCCCTGGCACCCAGAAATGTGCCTGTCTTCTTAATAGTATCCAATAGCATAATATGGTAAAAAAATGGGCATCCACCAGGAGCCTATAGCACTTCCTCCCACTGAGGGTCAAACACAGACACACATCTCTGAGCCTTCTAAGCAGCTCAGACCTGCACTCTTGCCTGTGTTCCTCTGCCTTTGAATTCACTGGATCTTAGTAGTGACTTAGTAGTTACTCAGTAGTTACCAAAACAGTGCAAAACCATCGCAGTTTCTATGTAAAACAAAACAGAAACCTCATTCTCCGGAGCACACGTGCACTTAACCTAAGTTTGGCATTTGATAGACTTTTCTGCATTTTGTTCTTTTCTGCCTCTCCTACATGGGCTCTCATATCTTTTGTCTTTTTTTTCTTTTTTTTTCTGAAAAGGTTTTGACTTAAAACTGAAAATATTCTAAGTGACAAGTAAGTAGCCCCTTCTCAAATAGAACCTGCAATAACATGCCTGGATTACATTAAGGAATGCTGGAGGGGATCCCAAAAACCAGTGTTTGAACAGTCAACCTGACAAAATCCTAGGACACCATTGAAAGAGCTCCTGTTACCTAACTGACTTAGAGCTGATCAGTGTAATCCTCATGATAATGCATTGTCTGACTCCAGGAACCTGTTGCAATAGCCAGCGGGAGGAGGAGGAACAGAGAGCCCTCTGGGAGTGTCCAAACCTCTGCCACAGTAATGAGACATGAACTGCCTTTTCCTCTGGCTCTGCTTTTGAGCAATGTGGACCAAGAAGTTTCAAAGAGTGAGATAACTTAGATTTATTAAGGAAAGTAAGCTGAACATGGAGACAAAAACAGAGAAAACCACAGAAAGAGACCAATAGCTAATGCCCAAATCCCAGGAAGCAGAGCAGTGAGAGTGAATTTCTTGGCAGGAAAACCAGATTGGTCTAGAAAGAAGTTTTGGGAAAATGTTTGAATCAGTCTCAACAGAATGAAAATGTTTCTAAATGAGCCCTTTGACTGGTTTTCTCTTGGACAAGGTGAAGACCAAATGAAGGAAGGATGAAGGTGGGATGTTTAAGTCTTTTAAAGATAACAAACTTTCCTGTGGCTAGTTAGCCCATTTCTGAGAGTTTATCTCAAGATTCTTCAAAGCATAAGAATGCAAGAGTAGACTTGCACTGGGTCTGTCACCTCCCAAATCTAGGTTGAATGAGGAGGTAGCACAATTCCTGTCTCAGCACCAAAAACTTAGTACCAACAACTGTGACTTTTGTCAAATCTCCTTCCAACTCAGTAAAAAATTCCCCACTATTTGTGATCAACAGTTTTTAAAAATAACACTTCTGTTGTGGCTTCTTTTTTGAAACTGTTTACTCAGAAAGAAAGGTACATATATTTACACTCTGACTGTACTTCATTTCAGGCGATACCGTCCATGAAAAGGAGAGTTGACATAGAATGCCACTCTTGTTTACATCCTATGTCTTATCATGCAGATAAGACTCAGAAAAAATAGACGGTACTAGAAGGTAGGAGAGGGAGAGAGAGAAGTGAACAATTAGAAGGTATAGTTTATGGCCTCTACATAATTTTGAGAGAGTTTTTATGTTAATTGGACAGCAAGGTAGAAAATAATCTTTAGTGGCATGAATAGCAAGATGGTCCTGTTGACTATCAGCATAAGCTATGGTTAGATTACTATTTCTTATCTCTTGTTCAAAGCTCTACATCAAAGGACTATTATCAACTGTTCAAGTGGACAGCAAAGCCTTGCAATGCCTTAGAGCACTCAAGAGTGAGAAAAATTCTAAAGCATTCATTCTTGGGGTAAAGGTAGGCTTTTTATGTATTGAAGAGAAGAGAAAATGGCTGTTATTCTAGTCATGGTACGAAAGCACTGACAAGATAATAGGAACAGAATAAGTCTCTGGTAAATTAAGGTGCTTAATGAGAAATTAGAATACCAGAGTGTTTGTGTGAAACTGGAGCTTAATTCTAAACTGGAGGAAAGTTAGAGATTGTATCACAGCAAAACCGTTAAATTTGTTCCACTAATTTTCTTAGTGATTCATTCATTCAACAAGTACTTATTGAGAAACTATTACATACCAAACTCTGTTATGGTGTTGGCAAAACTGCAAACTACAAAGAGCAAAATAGTTAATAATGCTGCCCTCATAAAGCTTATATCTTAGAATTATCATTTCGCTCAATAATAAATACAACCGTGTTGAGACTGAAAAGATTGGCGATTTTTCTCTAACAAGGTATATGTAAGGTAAAATGCTGAAGTCTTATGATTAATCTGTGGAGAAAAGAGACATAAGAGACATGTGATGTAGTGCAGAGCTTAATTTGTTGGTGTTTATGGGGGTGTGTGTGTGTGTGTGTGTTTGGGTGGACAAGGGAGGAATTTTAAAATGTGGACTTCAGAAGACATCACAGAGAAGGAATTATTTTGGGGAGAGGTGACTGATCTTGGAGACACTCTATAGTTTTTTCATCCAAAATCACAGCATTGTCTAAAAAGAAAAATTGATTTTCAGAAACCCCTGGGACATTTCCTTTAGGGCCACATGGTTGCAGTTCACCCCACTCAAGGCAAAAGAGAACTGTATCAAGAAGATGCACTGAGTACAAGAAAGTAATAATGAGGACCAAGTCCACGGATAGACGAGGGGCTATTACCAAGGATGCATCTGGAATTTAATCGGTTAGTAAGCACTATTCCTGCTAAATATTGTTTGGTGCATGGATATAGACAAAGTATTACCCAATGACGATACAACCTGGATTTTAAAAAGTAGAAAGGTAGTCTCCTTTAAAAATGTAAGGTGTGACTTGTTACATTTTATACAAGTTTAGAGCAATAATAAAATAATCATTGGGACAAACCCTTATCTTTAAAGATAAGGATTAAAGGATTAAATACAGTATAGTGTATTTTCAAGTGGAAGGACAACAAGGAAGTTCTCTGTAGAAAAGGCCCATCTGTTTGAAGCACTTTCTTTTATTTCTTCACCTTTGCCTTGTATTAGGCTCTTTCCTCTGCATTCCCCTAAAAGTTATGTGATATTTTGTTTTTCAGCACATTCTCGTGGGGTTCTAATATTTTTGCCTAGTAATACAGATTGTAGCTGATTTGATTACACATAACATTTGCTTTTGTAGGTCAATGTCTATGGATCTGTTCTATGCCCTCATCCATCCACCCAGCACACTCAAAAAACAAATCCAAATAAACCAACAACAAATACCTAAAAGATCAACTGCAGACTAGTCCCAAAGGAGGAAATGAACCCTTTGATTTTAATCTTCGATAAATCCCAGTACAAAAGATGTTCCGTTGTTCATACTCAATTTTAATTTTAGCCATGTTATTTCAATATCAAAATATATTTTAAAAAATCAAAATTTATAAATTATTGCCAAGGTTATAGCATGAAAAAGCCATACCTCATTTTTCTAAAATTCTTTAACAGGCATCTATAGGATAGATACATCTATTCCAAACTATTTTTTAGCCATCTGTTTTGATTCAGTGAGTCTTGCTGTTGGCATGCGCTAAAACTTTAGTTCCAAATGTGATGCCATTTTTTTTTTCTCTTTCAAATTGGGTCAATGTAATAAAGGGAAATGACGTTTTCTTCACACAGTAGAAGTAGCCCAACTAAATACTGCACATAAAAATTCTCTTAGGAAATTAAATCAAATAAGTTGTTTTTGAGGAATGGCCAAAGGTCAATATTAAAAGCAGCTCGTCTTCTATCATATGTGGTACTTTAGGAGGTTTATAAAAGTCTAGTGAATAGAGAAGCAGCATTTTAAGTAATCTTCAGAATAAGGAAACACAAAGGCTGGGTCCAGTTGACTGAAATGGGGCTGATGCAATCCACTGTCTCCTCAATGGACTGAGCCACAAGTAATATAAACCATGAAGATAATTGGTGTGATTAGATTAGTCATGCCAAAGTGGAGTTTAGCAGTCACCTATAGACAGCCTGCTAAAGTCCATATTGTTTCAGTTCTCTCCCAATCTAGCAGACTGTTGGAAGGCATTATTAAACACAGGTGTTCCTCATCTAGGAAAACAGGTTAACAAAATTCCAAATTCTCAAAAAAGTTCCTATGAAATAATTCAAACTGGAGTAGAATTTTCCCTGCAAGTTCCCCTTAAAGTATAAACTGCTTTATGCAAGTAAGCATTGTTTGATTTGCAAAAACTTAAATTGTACTAAACATTTCTATGACACATTCATTGTGTAAAACAGATAGTACATGAATCAAAATCTCAACTTTTATTGAATGTTAAGCTCAGAGGAACTGATTTATTCTAGATTACTCTAAGTTCAAAAGCCCATTTTACACAAAATAATGGAGAGCAAAGGATAACCAATCTGACCACAGCAGTCACAAATCTTAAAGATTGAACTCTACCATCATCACATTGCAAACTTTTAAAATATAGAATGTTCAAGCCCCTACACCATTTTTAATCTATATAATGTTGACTGTAGTGTATGAATCCTTCAACAGTCACGATTCAAGTTTGACCTTTCACTTTCTTATCTAGAGAAAATTTCATTTTCAAGTATCCAAGAATATTTAAAGTATTTAAAGTATTTCAAGAGAACTTATGGCACATGTCACCCAAGCTCAACAGCTAACAGTTGCTGCCACCTATAGGCCCAATCTCAAGAGAAAGGGCTGGGGACATGAACAAAGGTTTGCATGTTTCAAAGGCAACAAAGCAAGTTTTTTCCTCATTAAAAATGAAGTTGGTATCCATAAACTTTTGATGCAACTCTCTGAAAAAATGAAATTAGATGTGACAAATTTCACTTGTTTCATCAATGACATGCTATTTAAACCACCTCATAAAGGGCAAGAACTTTAAAGCATCAGCCTTTCTACTCACAAAGCAACCAAAGGAAACAAAATGAAGCAAGTTAGCTAGGTCTTCAGTCACATCTAATTGTGATTTTCATGGCTATATAATCGATATGAAAATGAGTGACAAGGAGATACTGTCTTTTGCACCTACTAGCATGTATCACATGTGACAGTCAGGATTCCTTTAGATTCTCTCCCATCTGGAGATTTTGTGAACTCTTCCTTGTGTCAAATAAAGTAAAAAGAAGAAAAAAAGTGAATCCATATAAAAACTCAGAATTAGATCTCATCCTCGGGATTTCTTTTTTCAGTAAAATGAAGATAAAAATGACTACCTTAAAATTTCATCTTAAAAATTATATTTATGTATGTGTGTATATATATTCATTGAATATGTATATATATATACACTCAATGAATAGCATATAGCAAGTTATAAAAATGTTCATCCTGTTACACTCACTAATTTTGTAATATTCTACAAGTCATTTCATAATTGGACTTTTGTTTTTTCATTTGTAAAATGAAGAGCTTAGACTAAGTAGTTTCTAGATTCCTCCTACACTGAATATTCTAGCATAAGGCATTTGAGTTTGGCATTCTCTCTACCCACGCCAGTTGGACCCATTTCTGTATTTGGGCTAACCTTATGCTGCATGAATGGTTGGAGATCAAGTCCCTCCAGCCACATGTTCCCTCTATAAAAATATTTCAGGACACCAAATAATAGAAGAGAAAAAAGTTATAACTTTTCTTCATATGGCTGATGTCCATTTCAGTATTCTGAAATACAACTATCCCCCTTCTTATAAACTAAATATGGCCCCCCACCAAGAATTCATATGTTGAAGTCCTAACCCCTATTACCTCAGAATGGTACTGCCTTAGAGACAGGGTCTTCAAAGAGGTGATTAAGTCAAAATGAGGTTGTCGGGCGTGTGCCCTAATTCAATTCCTATAAGAAGAAGCAATCCGGACACAGAGAGACACAATGAGTGTGCTCACAAAGAGGAAAGACCACGTGAGGACACTGCAAAAAGATACCAGAAAAAGTATCTACAAGTCAAGAAAAGAGGCTTCAAAAGAATGTAACCCTGCTGACACCGTGATCTTGGATTTCAAGCCTCCAGAACTGTGAGAAAATAGATTTCTGTTGTTTAAGCCACCCAGCCTATGGTATTTTGTCACAGCAACCATAGCAAATTCATACACTCCTTGAACTAACTCTGAGAATTTTTCAACAGTTTGACCCTTGAACAACACTGGTTTGAACTGCAGGGATCAAGTTCAGTAAAAGTTACATGGACTGTCCTGACTCTCCTGTCTCCACTTTCATGTCCTCCCCCTCTTCCACCTCTGATACCCCTGAGACAGCAAAACCAACCCCTCCTCTTCCTCCTTTTCCTCAGCCTACTCAACATGAAAACAATGAGGATGAAGACCTTTAGGATAATCCACTTTCACTTAATGAATACTAAATATATTTTATCTTCCTTCCGATATTCTTAATAATATTTTTTCTCTTCTCTAGCTACTTTATTGTAAGAATACGGCATATAATACTTAGAGCATATAAAATATGTGCTAGTCGACTGTTTATGTTATCGGTAAGGCTTCCAGTCAACAGTAGACTACCAGTAGTTAGGTTTGGGGAGAGTTAAAGGTTATATGCAGATTTTCAATTGTAGGGAGGTCAGTACCCCTAACTTCTGCATTGCTCAAGAGTCAATGGTATTTATGCTCTCAGATTCCTTATATTTAAAATAGAGATAACAGTTTCTTTGAAAGTTATAAGATTAAAAACAATGATTTATATAAATAGCCTACTGTGCATCTAACACAATGCAGTGGCTCAAACATTAATCCTTTTCCTTACTTAGTCCTGCCTCTGCTGTTAAGTGAATAATCTTAGGAATGTAATTTCGCCTATGTTTTCTCTTCCAGTAGCCACCTAGTCTCTGTGTACATTTAATACGACAGAATATTTTTATAAATATTTATATGTAATATATTTTGTGAAACCATATACATTAAATGCAGTTATATTTAACAAAATGTATGTTTAAAATAAAAAATACATATGAAATCAAAACCATCTTAATCAATCTGGACTATACTGATGCCATTTCTGGGTGAATTCTTAGACTTGCTCTGCAAAACGTCATGGATTTTACCACTAAAACACTTCAAAGTCTAAATGTTCGTTCAAATATTATCTTAGGGATACATATCTGCTGAGCTTCCAAAAAGTTAACAGATGATCAAGATATATTAATATATGTTTTTCTCTTCCTACCTTCTAGCAAAGGCCCACACAAGAAAGCCACAGGTGCTTCTCTTACACCCTCCATCTTCTCTCCTCCCCACACTCCACCTTCCATTACATCCCATTCTCGGCCTTGTTATGTCAGTATAGGTTTAATTAGTATCTTCCTAATACACTTTTTAAAAATTTATTTCTAAAGATTTTATAAACTAGTAAAGCTCAGCGCTAATGAAAACAGAATATGTAACCATACTTGTAAAATGATACTAATTCAAGGAAGGGAAACTTTCAAAAACAACATTTTACCTTTCTTTTTCTATAGGCCCAATCCCCTAATCTTTTTATTTCTATCTTTTCACTTTTCCCCCACTCAAAAACCCAAAGCAAAATCTTTTCAGAAGCCCATGAAAAAAAGAAAAAGAATGAAAACAAATATGAGCTAATTGGAAAATGAGCTGTTCTAGTTCAGTTCAAGTTTTTTTGGCAACGATCCAGAATTAAATAAGAACAAGATCACATACCCACAGTGAAAAGTGAATATGTATATAGTATAAAAGTAAGTGGAGGACTAAACAGTTACACATCTAATTGAAGAAAAAGCTACCTTTGGTAATCAGGTAAAACCTGGAATTTTTCTCATATGTGACAGCATTTTGTGACTATCATAATCCCACCATGTAAGAGAATAAGTAATATAGCAAAGTTTTCAAAATGAGAAATGCTTGAAAAAACAGATAATAAAACTTGAGGAACCTTATCTTTACCATAAGTGGTAAATACACAAAAAGAGAAAAATAATTTGAAACAAAAAAGGACAGTCATAAATTTGTCTATCTAGTTCTTGAGATACAAGTGAAGCCAAGTATGATCAGTTATTTAAGAAACAGAACAATAAAAGAGAAAATAAAGAAAGAAGTAGACATCTATTAAAACTTCAGTTAGTATCTTTGGTGGACACTTAGTTAACTGACTTAATTCCACTCGCAACTCCTCTTGAAATACCTCCCAATGATTAATCTAGTGTAGCCATGTGACTTAATTCTGAACAGTGATATGTAAGCATCAGTCACTGTGTAGGACTTTCAGGAAAGTATTTAAAAATATGTAGATATCTTTAGATATAGAAGAGATATAGATTAGGGCCGGGAGCGGCGGCTCACGCCTATAATCCCAGCACTTTGAAAGGCCGAGGCAGCGGATCACCAGGTCAGGAGATTGAGACCATCCTGGCCAACATGGTGAAACCCCGTCTCTACTAAAATACAAAAAAATTAGCTGAGCATGGTGGCCCATGCCTGTAGTCCCAGCTACCTGGGAGGCTGAGGCAGGGGAATCACTTGAACCCAGGAGGCAAAGGTTGCACTGAGCCAAGATCGTGCACTGCACTCCAGCCTGGTGACAGAGCAAGACTCCATCTTAAAAAAAAAAAAAAAGAAAAGATACAGATTAAATTCAGTCTTTGGCTTTTATCTCTTCTTGTTGTTTGGAACCTGATGTAATGTCTGGAAGCTCAGTAACTTTCATGTGACCATGCAGGGGTAAGCATGAGGAAAGAGGCCTACATGCTAAAGATGACAGACCTTCAAAATGGAGAGACTGTCTTCACTAGAACAACTCCAATTTGCCTATCCTCAGATTCTTGCTGCAAGAGACAAATACATTCTTTTGTTTTTGAAGCTACTATAATTGGATTTTCTACTACTCATGGTCAAACACACTTAGAATTGTTACAATCTCCTCAAAGAGATTCATAAGATAGTTCATCCAAACAACAAGAACAGTTTGCTATGAAAAAGGAACAGCCAGAGAATTTGAAACCTAAGATTGGCAAATTAAAAAAATACAAAGGGAAGACTAAAAGAGTAAAATCATTTTCTCTCATTATAAAACAAAAAGCAGAAGCATAAAATATGAGAGGAAAGTTTAGATACATGGCAGATAAACTGAGGGGCATAAAATTTGGTCCAATAATGTATTTAGAGAGAAAAGAACAAATGGAAGAATAGAACAAAAAATTTGAGAGAGCTTTTTTCCACCTCTGAACTGAAGTAAAGCATACACATGAAACTGAAAGGAAATACTAAATGTCAAACAAAATGAGTGGAAAAAATGTCTATAGTATGGCACATTATAAGGAAGTTTCAGAATGTAAGAATACTGAATAGATCTAATAAGCTTCCAAGAAGAAAATACAATAATTTTTATCTTCAAAGAAATTTTCATCAGACTTTTCATCATCAATAGAAGATGCTATTAGAAAAATGTATTAGCAATGTATTTAAAGTTCTATAGGCAAATGATTTTCAATGTAAAGTTGTGCATTCAACCAAACTATCATTTGAGGGTATAATAAATGGTATAATAAGGAGTCTGACTCCATTCTTCATATTTCAACACTGGAAGTTTTCAATCTCCACTCCTCTCTCTTCCCCTCTTTCCCCACATCTAGGCAAACTGATAAGAAGGACCCTGCACTTCCTCCCTAGGCACTATCAGGAATTTCAAATTCCCACCCTGGCTTTACCCGCTAACCACAATAAAGTCAGAGTCACTTGTTCCTTCACTCAAGTCATTTCTGATTGGCTTGGGTACCTGCCCTGCTATCCTCAGAAAGCCCCATTATGTGAGCAATAAACACTTTTTTTTTTTTTTTTTTTTTTTTTTTGAGACAGAGTCTCGCTCTGTCACCCAGGCTAGAGTGCAGTGGCCTGATCTTGGCTCACTGCAAGCTCCGCCTCCCGGGTTCAGGCCATGTTCCTGCCTCAGCCTCCCGAGTAGCTGGGACTACAGGCGCCTGCAACCACGCCCAGCTAATTTTTTGTATTTTTAGTAGAGACGGGGTTTCACTGTTAGCCAGGACGGTCTTGATCTCCTGACCTCGTGATCCGCCCACCTCGGCCTCCCAAAGTGCTGGGATTACAGGTGTGAGCCACCGCGCCCAGCCTCAATAAACATTTTTATACCAACTTGGGGAATGTATGGTGTCATCAGTCTCAATACTTAAACCAATTTTGGGTGGAGAATTGATCCTGCCTACTGCAAAGCAACCTCAAGACAGAGGCTAAATAAATAATTTTCTAATATACAAGGCCTCAGAAACCTAACTTTCCGTGCAATCTTTCTGAAAAAATAAAAATCTTTTGAAGATATTCTCCAGAAATGCACAAAATGTTCCCAAGATGATATCCACTAAAAAAAGAAATGTGATTCAAGACATAGAGGACTTAATCCAGGAGCATGATGAAAATAAATCCTGAGATTTCTGTGGCAGGTCCAGAAATGAGTCAGACCAAAATAGAATAGACAGTTAGAACTCTGAGAAGTCAAAATTTCTAGAACTTCAGGACAAATAGCATTATTAAGAAGTTTAAACTTCTTAATGATTTATAAACTTTTAAAATATATAAAAAAGGGTTTATATAAAAATGTTTCCTATATCAACAATAATAAAGAGAGATAATTGAAAATTTCAGGGGAAAAGCTCAAAAAAATTTAAAATTCAAACAAGTAAATTAAAATGAGAAATGATTTTGAGCATAAAATTTTTAAAAATCCATCTTTGATATTTGTTTAGTGATATAGAGTTATTATTTACTTATCTGTGATTCAAATTATATTAGTTGGTTCTTCAGAAAAAATATACCATAATTATTGTATTATAAATCTTTTAAATTACTTTTTAATTTTAGAATCAACCTACAGACAAAGCACAGAAGACTTACCTACAGTGTCAGATTAGAATGCAATTGTTAAAAATCTCAACAATGAAAAACAACATCTTAGCTAGCAGATGCCTGAAATAAAGATGGAGAGGAGAAGAGGAGAGATGTAAAAAGGTGTTAACTGATTATTCTGAGAGTGGGAAATCAAAAGATACAGTGAACATTTGAAAAAACAAGAACGAGATTTAAGTACATTATTTAAAGTCGAAATAAAAAAAATAGAACTAAAAAATGTAATCAATGAAACCTGGGATTCAAAGGGGAGAAGAGATGAGGAAAGGAAATAATGCACTAAATTCCTTACTTCTTAGAGCAGAGCATTATTAAAACTATTTACAATCATAGGTCAAGAAATAAGGCCATACTATTTGGAGTTCTAGTAGTCATCCCTAGAAAGACTAAAAACAATAAGAGTTCATTTTTAACTCTACCAGTTTGGTTACCTCTAGTAAGGGGGACTGCAAGGAAAAAAAAACATTGAAAGTAGAAACTTTATTTAATTTTATTTTCTTCTAGAACATTTGCATTTTTTACCATGTTCTATTATTATACATTGACATATATTTAATTCCAGATCATCCATTTACTAAGTCTGTGACTTATGTGATATGTTTCAAATTACCTAACTTCTCTGTATCCCAATCATCTCATTTGTAAAACACAAATAAAAATTATACTTACTTCACGGATTGTTCTGAGAATTAAACAAAGCACAATCCTCCAAGAACTCTGACCACCTGAACTTTCACCTTCTCATTTATGAAATAGTGTCTCTCTTGAATTAGCCCAAAGTAAAGCAGTATCAGGAGGAGAGTTACCAGAAAATGAGAAGTCATATTGACCTCATGGTGAGTTAAAAAAAAAATGTATCTTTTATCTTTTTTTTTTTTTTTTAAATGAACCAATGCTAGCACATCCTCTCCATCCATCCTTTATATATGCTCTTTCTGGACCGAATATCAGGATTTTACATGTAGACTCATTAGGAGCCATCTGCAAAGATTTAGCCATCATTCTGGGTAATCGGGGTCAATGCCTTTGTGTAGGTTTTCTATATCCATAAGAGAATATAGATGTTCAAAACTGGAAAAAAGTCTGGAAGTGGATTCAACAAGGGCCCTCATTCCTTGCAGTTGGAAATCAAGAGCACTGATTTTAAGTAAAGGGGTACTTGAGTCATCCAAAATAAATCTTTGAGCTTTTTATACTTTTGAGCTCATTATCAACTTCTCTAAAAAGCCTACAGTAGATGTTAACAACTACAGTGACCATCTTTAAATTCTGTCTGCCCCTGGTCTGTGAATGTCATCTTCTGTTAGAGGTTTGCAAAGTTTTTATTTTATTATTACTATTACTTTTACAACAAGGAGAGTTTCTAAGGCTAAGTGACATAACTGGCAGCAAACTCATCAGAAACCCACCTTCCTTGTCTGTAAGATACTCTCTTCAGCAGTTAGTAAAAGCACAATATGGAAGAAAGCCCATTTGCCCAATCCAGGATTAATAATAATGGTGCAAAGAGATGCTTTACTTTCTTTACTTTTAAGAGGAGTTTCAGGTGGGGACCTTCTTAAACACGAAATGCAAAATGCAGTCTATTAACTATTGAGTATGTGTGTTACAAAGAAAAATTATTTGTTATTTTACAGTGTCTTTTATAATAGACAAAAATCTAAAACTGACAGCATTAGTGGCAGCCATAGAAAGGCACATACATGTCTTCTTCTAGGATCTTTAGCTTTAGCAAACTGAAACATAAGGCCAAATGATGATATTTTGGATGGTGCTTTATTGACAACATGTTTTTGCAAATATATGTAATTTATTTTTATTCAAAGACAAATTATTCAAATGAGAAATTATCTTATAGCCTCTTAAATTTAAGAATCTTAGAGCAAGGCACTTACTATTAGCAACCCACCAAATCATGTTTATTTGAAATAATTCTTCCACATAATATATTCGATTAGAAAGGATTCATTGAATACTGTCTTTATTCTAATGCTTGTAGCATTTTGAGATGTGTGAGAAAAAAATAATTTAGAAGTTTGTAATAAATACATATTTAGAAGTTTATAAATAAATAATAGAAAATAAAAATAGCTGGAGATACTTCTGCAATTACTTCTTTGCACTGGTCATGAGCCTGCTCACCTATGGTGGTTCTAATAAACACCTTGCCCCCTTGGTACTGATAGTCTCACTCATTATTTACTCATCTACACCCTTAATAGGATGGTTTAGTCTTTCAAATCAGGGACTTTGTCTCTTCATCTTATATAAACAGGACGTAGTAAAAGTATGTGGTACATAGCACTCAATAAACAGCTATATATACATGAGCTTCCTCCAACCATAAGGCTCTGGAATCAGGCAATTGGGCTTCAGATACCTCTTGGGCAAGGTATTTAAGCTCTTCAAGCCTCATTTGCCTCATCTGTAAGTCAGAAACAATATTTACCGTAGTGTATGGTGATAGCTAAAGGAAATAGATGAAAAATTCCTAGCATATTTTAAGTAGTCAATAAACATTAGTTACTATCAAACATCTTAATGAACTGGTTTATCTTGGCCTCTACCAACATTCCATTCTTGAAATGCTGAATACTTAGAAGGTGTTGAACAATTGTTTAATGAATAAGTCAATAGACTAAAGCAATGTGGTATAATGAAATTAACATTAATAGAATTTGAAATCAGATAACCTGAGTTTGAGTCCCAGCTCTAAAAATTTAGGAAATCATTCAACTGTTTGAATTCTGTTTCCATACCTATAAAATGAAAATAATGATATTACTCCACTATTTCCAGAGACTTAAACTGGAAAATCTTTATAAAATGAAATATATGAAGCAATTATCATTTTATTATTATTGTTACCTAATATTAAAACCACCCATAAGAAGTAATCAATCAAACAAATTTGGATAACAGGTATAAAGACATAAAGAAACATGGTCTACTTCAGATTTTCATTGTTTAGCTGGGTGTGTTACCATCCCATAAGGAAATCCAAAAAGAGTAAGAGAAAAAGAGGACAAAAAACATTAGCAATGTAGACAGAAGAGATTTGTCTATATTGTTCATTCAAATAAACTTGTTTATCTAAATAAATTTAAGTCAGTGCAGGAAACACAGTCTGTAATAACTAGTTTTTACTAACATCAATGCTTACTCTATGAAGGCAATGTCACTATTTTCTGAAAGGAGATTGCCTTCTGACCTCATAGGAAATATATTGTAGATCCAGAGCCAGAGAGACAGAAACAAAAGCTTCTTGTTTTTCGGCTTTAGAAAAATCTCTTCATTGTCTGTATACATTTATCATTTTTGTCTGCTAAATTACATTGATGATTAACCTAAAATAATATCTCAGTTAAAAATGTATGTAAGTGTAATACAAATAAAATAATGCTAGTACATGAAAATAATATTCACCATTTTATAGTACTAGCTAAACAATACAAATATTAGATTGCTACCAAAGAAAATCATTTCAAAGTTTATCATTAGTTTTGAGTACAAAACTGACAACATTTTATAAAGTAAATTGTGTATTTATTTAAAGTATTGGATATGATTATACATTACCTTGGAAATTTCTCAGCATCCATGAGTTTGTTCAGCACCTATGCTGCTTAAGCATATTATTGAACACCATTAAAAGTGTGATAGACAGATGTCTAAATGAAATATAGCCAGCCGCTGTGAGGCAGCCTGAACTAGACCCCAAAGTGGCTCACCCATTCTTATTTCAAGAATTTTACATGAAAAAGGATTCAAAGTGAAACTGATTTTTAATCTTGATAAACAATACTAAAACCCATTTTAAGAACTATCAGAGAAAAAGCATTATTTATATTTTAATATCTAATTTATATCCTAGAATTTATCTACAAAACTTACTGATCCTTAATGGGTTTATAAAATGATGTACATAGAAATACATTATGTAATGAGGAGTTTTAGCTGAGACTGTACTTATCTCCCGAAATTGCTAAATAGGCTCTCATTTTAAAGGACAAGCAGATTGTTTCTCTCGAAGTAGAGCCTCAGATTCTTTCTTTCCTGCTGAAATTGCAAGATCTTAAAAGAGCTAGGTTATGAAGGAAACATTTTCTTGTGTCTGGAACTGTTATCTCTGCACATGAGGATTCTTTTAGTAAAATGCCTTCTTTCCTGGACCTGGGAGTGTGTAGATAGGAAAGACATCAATTAGGATATACTCCTTGTGGAAGAGGTGAGTCAGCCCCAACCAGTTTAAAGCAAGGAGGAGAAGCTGAACCCTATCAAGGTGAAACCAGCCAAAAGCTCAGCAGAGAGGTGCCCACAAGAAAGATATTAAGGGGCCTGTATCTGAGGACTCTGAGAGCACCCATATCTAGCATCCAGTCTTGAGGTCTGTGCACAAATTCCCTTCTGTGGCTCTCTAAGTCTTCAGTAAAGTTACAAGAATATAAACTCTGCAGTGGGAAATTTGGGGGCAACCTTGGGCTACTCTTGGAGAGAAAAATTTTAAGAGAGTGACAGCAACCTGTGAGCAGGTTGGCAAGGTGGCCCAAGGTGATTTTCAAAAGAGTAGGGCAGTCAAAAGCTGTCCATGAGCACAAGGGATAATTAGGATGGATTCAGGGAAATATGGAAGCATTCCCTCAACATTCCCAGGAAACTTTGATGAGGGAAACCAAAAAAGATGAGACTTTGGGCACTCAGGCAAGATAAGGGGAGTTCCTACCATTACATCTTGGGTAGCATAAGTGGCCTTATTTTGCTTCAATCATCTGAAGCATAACCAGTCTCCTCTATTTACCACACATGCCATACAAATACACTATGGGCTTCAGGCCCATCACAGCTATTCCAAGAGTTGAGGGGACCAAAATATTGGTCAACAGTTGGGGAGTTCTGAGCTGACAGTATCCAACACAGTGGCCACCAGCCTTGTATGGCTATTGAGCATTTGCAGTGTAGCAAGCCCAAACTGAAAAGTGTTGTACGTATAACCCACACACTAGATTTAGAAGACTCAGTATAAATATGTATATATAATCTGTAATATATAATTAATAATTTGTAATAGATTACATATAAAAAGGATAACATTTTGGATAGTCTGGATTAAATAAAATATATTAAAACTAATTTCAGGCCAGGCATGGTGGCTCACGCCTGTAATCCCAACACTTTGGGAGGCCGAGGTGGGTGGATCACCTGAGGTCAGGGGTTCAGAACCAGCCTGGCCAACATGGCGAAACCCCGTCTCTACTAAAAATACAAAATTAGCTGGGCATGATGGCACATGCCTGTAATCCCAGCTACTTGGGAGGCTGAGGCAGGAAAATCGCTTGAACCTGGGAGGCGGAAGTTGCAGTAAGCCGAAATTGTGCCATTGCACTCCAGCCTGGGCAACAAGAGTGAAACTCTATGTCAAAAAAAAACAAACAAAAGAACAAACAAACAAACAAAAACCCACTAATTTCAGCTGCAATTCAGTTGACACACTAAACAATGCATCAGAGTCTCTCAACAGCAGAACTGATCAAGCAGAAGAAAGAATTGGTGAGCTTGAAAGCAAGCTATTTGAAAATACATGGTCAGAGGAAATGAAAGAAAAAAGAATAAAAATGAATGAAGCATACCTACAAGTTCTAGAAAATAGCCTCAAAAGTGCAAATCTAAGAGTTATTAGCCTTAAAGAGGAGGAAGAGAGACAGACTGGGGTAAAAATTTTATTTGATTGAATAACAGATAACTTTCCAAAATGAGAGAAAGATATCAACACTAAAGTACAAGATGGTTGTAGAATACTAAGCAGATTTAACCCAAATAATACTATCAAGACAATGAATAATCAAACTCCCAAAGTTCAAAGATAAAGGGTCCTAAAAGCAGCAAGAGAAAAAAAACAAATAGCATACAATGGAATGCCAATGTCTGGCAGCAGGCTTCTCAGTGGAAACCTCCCAGGCCAAGAGAGAGTGGCAAGACATATTTAAAGTGCTAAAGGAAGAAAAAAAAATTTATCATAGAATAGCACATCCAGCAACAATATCCTTTAAACATGAAGAAGAAATAGACTTTCCTAGTCAAACAAAAGCTGAGGGATTTCATCAATACCAGAATTGTCTTACAAGAAATGCTAAAGGGAGTTCTTCAATCTGAAAGAAAACATTAACAAACAATAAGAGATCATGTGAAGGTACAAAACTCATTGGCAATAGTGAATACACAGACAAACATAGAATATTATAACCCTGAAATTGTGGTGTGTAAACTACTCATATCTTGAGTAGAAAGACTAAAAGATGAACCTATCAAAAATAGTAATTATGACAACTTTTCAAGACCTAGACAATATAACAAGATATAAATAGAAACAAAGTTAAAGTGAGTGTGATGAGATTAAAGTATATAGTTTTTGTTAGTTTTATCTTAGTTTTTGCAATCAGTGTTAAGTTGTCATCGGTTTGAAATAATGGGTTATAAGATGTTATTTGTAAGCCTCATGGTAACCTCAAATCCAAAAACCTACAACAAATACACGCAAAAAAAATAAAAATTAAAAAATTAAGACATACCACCTGGAAAAATTGCCTTCACTAAAAGGAAGATGGACGGTAAGAAGGAAGGAAGGAAGGAAGGACCACAAAATAAAAAAAAAACCAGTATCAAATATCAAAATGGCAGGAGTAAGTCCTTACTTATCAATAACATTGAATGTAAATGAACTAAACTCTCTAATCAAAAGAGTGGCTGAAGGGATTAAAAAAAACAAGATCCAATGATCTGTGGCCTACAAGAAACACACTTCACCTATAAAGACACACATAGACTGCAAATAAAGGCATGGGAAAAAGATATCCCACACAAATGGAAACAAAAAAGAGCAGGAGTAGCTATACTTATATAGGATAAAATAGATTTCAAGACATAAACTATAAAAAGACACAAAGATGGTCATTATATAATAACAAAGGGGTCAATTTAGCAATAGGATACAATTATAAATACATCTACATAAATATTAAAGAAAATAAATAATAAAGGTCAGAGCAGAAATGTATGAAATTGAAATGAAATAAACAAAAATATTTATAATTGTTACATATATATACACACATACATATATATATGCACACAAACACACACACACACACACGTACATCCAACACTGCAGCACCTAAATATATAAAGCAATATTATTGGAGCTATAAGGAGAGATAGGCCCCCAGTAAAATAGCTGGAGATTTCAACACCCCACTTTCAGCATTGGACAGAATTTCCAGACATAAAATCAACAAAGAAACATTGGACTTAATCTATACAATAGACCAAATGGATCTAATACATATTTACAAAACACTTCATCCAATGGCTGCAGAATACACATTTTTCTCCTTAGCACATGAATCATTCTTGAGGACGGACCACATGTTAGGCCACAAAACTCAACTTAAAACATTTTAAAAAATTAAAATCATATCACATATCTTCTCTGACTACAACAGAACAAGAAATCAATAGCAAGAACAAGTATACAAACACGTGAAAATTGAATAAGATGCTCCTGAACAACCAGTGAGTCAATAAAAAAATTAAAATTTAAAATTTAAAATTTCTTGGAAAAGAATGAAAATGGAAAATGGAAACACAACATACCAAAACCTATAGGATACAGTGAAAGCAATACTAGAGGAAAGCAATAAGAGCCTACATCAAAAAAGAAGAAAAACATCAAATAACTAATCTAAAAATGTGTCTTAAAGAACTAGAAAAGAGAATGAAACCCAAAATTAGTAGAAATAAATAATAAAGATCAAAGCAGAAATACATGAAATTGAAATGAAATAAATATAAAAGATCAACAAAAATGAAAAGTTGATTTTTTGAAAAGATAAACAAAATTGACAACCCTTTAGACAGAAAGAGAGAGCCAACCCAAATACGTAAAATCAGAGATGAAAAAGGAGACATTACAACTGATACTGCAGAAATTCAAAGGATCATTAGGGACTACTATGAGCAACTATATACCAATAGCTTAAAAAACCTAGAAGAAATTGATAAATTCCTAGACACATACAACCTACCAAGATTGAACCATGAAGAAATCCAACTCCTAAATAGACCAGTAACAAGTAATGAGATTGAAGCCATAATAAAAAGTCTCCCAGCAAAGAAAACCCTGGGACCCAACGGCTTCACTGTGGAATTTTGCCAAATAAAGAATTAATATCAATACTACTCAAACCATTTCAAAAAACAGAGGCGGAGGGAATACTTCCAAACTTATTTTATGAGGCCATACTACCGATACCAAAACTAGACAAAGACACTTCCAAAAAAAAAAAAAAAAATCCCCAAACCAAAACAAAACTACAAGCTAATATTCCCCATGAACATTATTGCAAAAGTCCCCAACAAAATACTAGCAAACCAAATCCAACAACACATTTAAAAGATTATTCATCGGCCGGGCGCAGTGGCTCATGCCTGTAATCCCAGCACTTTGGGAGGCTGATGCAGGTGGAGCACGAGGTCAGGAGATCGAGACCATCCTGGCTAACACGCTGAAACCCTGTCTCTACTAAAAATACAAAAAAATTAGCTGGGTGTGGTGACGGGTGCCTGTAGTCCCAGCTACTCGGGAGGCTGAGGCAGGAGAATGGCGTGAACCCAGGAGGTGGAGCTTGCAGGGAGCCGAGATCGTGTGCCACTGCACTCCAGCCTGGGCGACAGAGCAAGACTCTGTCTCAAAAAAAAAAAAAAAAAGATCATTTATCATGACCAAGTGGGATTTATCACAGGGATGGAAGGATGGTTCAACATAAGTAAAATCAATCAATATGATACATCATATCAACAGAATGGACAAAAATCATGATTATTTCAATTGATGCTGAAAAGGCATTTGATAAAATTTAACATCCCTTCATGATTAAAAAACAAAACCCTCAAAAAACTGGTTACAGAAGAAGCATACCTCAATACAAGAAAAGCCATATAGGACATACCTGCAGGTAGCATCATACTGAATTAGGAAAAACTGAAAGCCTTTCCTTTAAGATCCGGAATGTGATAAGGAGGCCCACTTTCACCACTGTTATTCCACACAGTACTGGAGGTCCTCGATAGAGCAGTCAGACAAGAGAACAAAATAAAAGCCATCTAAATTGGAAATGAAGGAGTCAAATTACCTTTGTGCTACAGATGGCATAATCTTACATTTGGAATAACCTAAAGACTCCACCAAAAACCTACTACAATTAATTAAAAAATTTAGTAAAGTTGCAGAGAAAAAATCAACATACAAAAATCAGTAGTATTTCCAGCAATGAACAAGCTGAAAGAAATCAAGAAAGTATTCCCATTTATAACAGCTACAAATAAAATACCTCAGAATAAACTTAACCGAAGAAGTGAGAGCTCTGTACAATGAAAACTATAAAACACTGATGCAATAAATTGAAGAGGACACTAAAAAAATGGAAAGATATTTCTTGCTCATGGATTAGAAGAATTAGTATTGTTAATGTCCATACTACCCAAAGCAATCTACAGATTCAATGCAACCCCAAAATACCAATGGCATTCTTCACAGAAATAGAAAAAAAAAATCCTAAAATTTATATGGAACCAAAAAAGACCCAGAATAGCCAAAGCCATCCTAGGCAAAAAGGAGAAAACTGGAGGAATCACATTACCTAACTTCAAATTATACTACAGAGCTATTGTAACCAAAACAGCATGGTACTGGCATAAAAACAGACATACAGACCAATGGAACAGAATGGAGAACCCAGAAACAAATTGATAAATCTACAGTGAACTCATTTTCAACAAAGGGGACAAGAATATACATTGGGGAAAGGGCAGTCTCTTCAATAAATGGTGCTGAGAGAATTGGATAGCCATATGAATGAAACTATACATCTATCTCTCACCATATACAAAAATAAAATCAAAATGGATTAAAGGCTTAAATCTAAGACCTTAATCTATGAAATGACTAAAAGAAAACATTGGAGAAACTCTCCAGGACATTGGTCTAGGCAAAGATTTTTTGAGTAATACCCCAAAAGCACAGTCAACCAAAACAAAAATGGACAAATACGATCACATCAAGTTAAAAAGCTTCTGCACAGAAAAGGAAACAATCAACAAAGTGAGGAGACAACCCACAGTATGGGAGCAAATACTGGCAAACTATCCATATGACAAGGGATTAATAACTAGAATCTATGAGGAGCTCAAACAACTTAATAGGAAAAAATCTAATAATCTGACTTAAAAATGAACAAAAGATCTGAATACACATTTCTCAAAATAAGACATACAAATGTCAAAACAGGCATATGAAAAAGTGCTCAATATCATTGATCATCAGATAAATGCATATCAAAACTACAATGAGCTATTATCTCACCCCAGTTATAATGGCTTTTAACCAAAAGACAGGTAATAACAAATGTTGGTGAGGACATGGAAGAAAGGAAACCCTTGTTCATACACTTTTGGTGGAAATGTAAATTAGTACAGCCACTCTGCAGAACAGTATGGAGGTTCCTCAAAAAACTAAAAATAGAACTACCATATGATCCAGCAATCCCACTGCTAGATATATATCTAGAAGAAAAGAATTCAGTATATCAAAGAGATATCTGCATGCCCATGTTTATTGCAGCACTATTCACAATAGCCAAGATTTGGTAGCAACCTAAGTATCCAGCAAAAGACAAATGGATAAAGAAAATATGGTGCATATAAACAATGAAGTACTATTCAGCCATAAAAAGAATGAGATACTATCATTTGCAACAACATGGATGAAACTGGAGGACCTTATATTAAGTGAAATAAGGCAGGCACAGAAAGACAAATTTCACATATTCTCACTCATTTGTGGGAGCTAAAAATTAAAACAACTGAACTCATGGAGAGAGAGGCTAGAATGATGGTTACCAGAGGCTAAGAAGGGTAGTGGGTGGGGTATGTGGATGGTTAACAGATACAAAAATATAGTTAGATAGAAAGAATAAGATCTAGCATTTGATAGCACAGCAGGGTGATTACAGTCAGCAATAATTTATTGTACATTTAAAAATAACGAAAAGAATAATTGGAATGTTTGTAACACAAAGAAATGATAAATGCTTGAGGTGATGGATAACCCATTTACCCTGATGTGATGATTACACCTTGTATACCTGTATCAAAATATCTCATGTACCCCATAAGTATATATACCTACTATGTACCCATAACAATAATTTTTTTTTAATTTCAGCTGTTCCCTTTTACTTTTTTAATGTGAATTAAAGAAAATTTCAAATTACATATATGTCTCCTATTGTATATTTTATTAGACTACACTGCTCTGAATTAAAGTATTATTCTCTATTAAAATGCAAATTCTTCTGAGTATAGAAGTCCACTTTTCTCTTCAAGGCCAATCTATCAAACTGTGACATGTTTCCCATTTTGCTCCCTATGTCACTGCCTCACCTTTTCTTTGGCTCTTTCCCTTCAAGTTACTCCGGTCTTAAAGGCAAACCTTTCCATGACCCTGTTACCTTCTGACTTTTGTCTCTACCTACTTTGTCATTCAATTCATTTTATGTCTTCCTCTTATTTGGCCACTGAAATTTAACCTATCACTGATCCACTGCAAATGGCTCTCTCTGGCCTTGTTGTCTCTTCCCCTTCCTGAAACTCTCTTCTTGTCTTGTTTCTTCTCTTCTCTCATCTTATCTTCTCCAATCTCTTCAGCCCATTATAGCCTGAAATACTGAAATATTTTGACCATCTCTCATGTCTCCTATCCCCAGATGGTGCCAAAGTCTTGAGCTACAGGACTAGCCCCACACATGACCCCTCCCTGCTTTGGCCTCTGCCAGCCCCTCTCTTGCCTACTCATTCTCCTTTCCTGTCCTCAGCTTACACTTGGTATCTGACATCGTTTGACTCTGTGTTCCCACCCAAATCTCATCCTGTAGCTCCCATAATTCACAAGTGTTGTGAGGGGAACCTAGTGGGAGATGATTGAATCATGGAGGTGAGTCTTTCCCATGCTATTCTTGTGATAGTGAATACCATGAGATCTGATGGTTTTAATGGTAGTTGCTCTGCATAAGCTCTCTTTGCCTGCTGCCATCTATATAAGATGTGACTTGCTCCTCTTTGCCTTCTGCCATGATTGTGGGGCCTCCCCAGCCATGTGGAACTGTAAGTCCAATAAAACACTTTCTTTTGTAAATTGCCCAGTCTCAGGTATGTCTTTATCAGCAGTGTGAAAATGGACTAATACAGTAAATAAGTACCAGTTGAGTGGGGCATTGCTGAAAAGGTACCCAGAAATGTGAAAGCAACTTTGGAACTGGGTAACAGGCA
The DNA here is from genome assembly GCF_000001405.40 of Homo sapiens. Classification (NCBI taxonomy): domain Eukaryota; kingdom Metazoa; phylum Chordata; class Mammalia; order Primates; family Hominidae; genus Homo; species Homo sapiens. Next base: position 79,757,384 of record NC_000013.11, on the reverse strand, counting down.
GAGGCTGGAACAGTTTTGAGGGCTCTGAAGAAGACAGGAAAATGTGGAAAAGTTTGGAACTTCTAAGAGGCTTGCTGAATGGCTTTGAAAAAAATGCTGATAGTAATATGAACAATAAGGTCCAGGATGAGGTGGCCTCAGATGGAGATGAGGAACTTGTTGGAAACACGAGCAAAGGTGACCCTTGTTATGTTTTAGCAAAGAGACTGGTGGCATTTTGCTCCTGCTCTAGAGATTTGTGGAACTTTGAACTTGAGAGAGATGATTTAGGGTATCTAGCAGAAGAAATTTCTAAGCAGCAAAGCATTCAAGAGGTGACTTGTGTGCTGTTAAAGGCATTCAGTTTTATAAGAGAAGCAGAGCTTAAAAGTTCAGAAAAGTTGCAGCCTGACACTGCGATAGAAAAGAAAATACCATTTTCTGAGGAGAAATCCAAGCCAACTGCAGAAATTTGCATAAGTAATGAGCAGCCAAATGTTAATCCCCAAGGCAATGGGAAGAATGTCTCCAGGGCATGTCAGAGGTCTTCACAGCAGCCCCTCCCATCACAGGCCCAGAGGTCCAGGAGGAAAAAGTGGTTTCATGAGCTGGGCCCAGGGTCCCCATGCTGTGTGCAGCCTAGGGACTTGGTGCCCTGTGTCCCAGCTGTTCCAGCTGTGGCTGAAAGGGGCCAATGTAGAGCACGGGTGGTGGCTTCAGAGGGTGCAAGCCTCAAGCCCTGGCAGCTTCCACGTGGTGTTGAGCCTGTGAGTGCACAGAAGTCAAGAATTGAGATTTGGGAACCTCTGCCAAGATTTCAGAAGATATATGGAAATGCCTGGATGCCCAGGCAGAAGATGCTGCCAGGGCAAGGTCCTCATTGAGAACCTCTGCTAGGGCAGTGCAGAAGGAAAATGTGGGGTCAGAACCTCCACAGGGTCCCTACTGGGGCACCGCACAGTGGAGCTGTGAGAAGAAGACCACCATCCTCCAGACCCCAGAATGGTAGATTCAACGACAGCTTGCACCATGCACCAGGAAAAGCTGCAGACACTCAATGCCTTCATAGCCCCCCAGGACACATGTCTCCCTTCATAAGAACTGCAATTAAATAATTATTTGTGTAATTTTTTGTTTGATATGTGCCTACCCTAATTGACTTTATCTTTCATGAGGGCAGGAAATGTGTTTGACTTGTTTCCCTGCAGTCTCTGACTAATAATTCCTTTATAAGACTTCAGTAAATGCATTTATAAAGTCCAAGAATGTGCTTGGCTTGCTAAGAAAAGCCAGGCTGCATTTTGGATCCAGATTGTGGCAGTTTAGAGTAGAAAAATAAGGGAAGTAGGTCAACGGAGAAGGTGACTTACCTTCCAAAGTTCCACACTATTAGTTGCTATGTATAGCCCTCAGTTTGAAGATGACAATAACTATTTAGATTAAGGCTTGTCTTCAAAATAATTTCTGTGAAAATGTTCAATTATTTAGCATGGACAGCTATTTACTCCCTAAGCAAGGCATTATAGTTCACAATTTAAATAATATAGTAATGAGTCACTTTAAAAATGTGTTTAAAAACTAAGTGTTCTTTGATGTGGCCAAAGTTGGCTAGGAAGTTCAAAATAAAACCCCTTGTTAGTTAAAGAAAACTCAATAGTTAAAGAAAACCCAATAGTTAAAGAAAAATATTAACAAATTCATCAGGAATCAATGCAGTTTTAAAACCTTTTATGTCACCTTCACTTCCTGAGAATCAGATGGGATTTTTAATAGCCCTGGTCTTCCTTGAAGATAATGAAAAGTCATAACAATTAACATCCATATAGTTTCAGAATTCTAAATCTAATTTCTAGCAAGAGTCAACTAATTCTTCTTTAACCAAATAATATTTAACTGTAATTAATGTCTCCTCTTTGGTTATGAGAAATGGAACATCTGACCCAAGGGTCTCTGAGGGTAACTGGCAGATCAGGCCTCAATAATGGAGCCACCCTTTAATGTTCTTTTTATTACACATATATTTGTCTACATTCTAGCTTGGTTCATGACATTCAGCATCCTTACATCTTTACTAGTTACCCCTACTCAGTCTTTCTTAGCTAAAAGTGAACCTTCCTAAATCCTACAGTTTCTTCCTTATGCCATTCTTATGCTATTTTATAGCCATTTATGTTCAGTTGTTGGTGTTCATGCATCATCTTATGTACAGTTCTGGAAACAAAGTTTTCCTTCAACCATTCTCGAAGGAAAGCTTTACATCTTATACGTCTTTGCATTTTCCTTAATGCTTTGCAATAACTTGTATAATGTCTCATAATATTTGTTGGAAAATAAAAGGGATTTGCCTTTAATATAATGTGCTTACTATAAGATTGGTCTCATTATTTAGCTATGATCTATGCCTTTTGCATTCAAAGTTGATGCCTCTGATCTGTATGTTTTGTATAACCTGTGCCGTGGTGATGGACTCCCAGTTTCTCAGCAGTTTCAGGACTAATGAAATGCATCTACAGAACCCTGGCCAGGCTCAGCAGTGTGAAGAGATTACAGCCAAAAGGCATAGACCAAACTCAACCTTTTCCTTATCAGTTCCGGTTCAAAGGACCTAACTGAAGGAGATATAATAAAAGGATGGTGGCCTCTAGAATGGAAAGCCACTAGTTTGGAGAGGGAGATTTTGTTTCACAACATTCAAAATTATTTTACTTAATTTTTTAAAGGAGGAAGAATATTAAGAGAAAATATATCAGTTAAAATCTTTATGGGGGAAGGTACCAAAGCATCAGTTCTTGGTGGTCAGTATGAATATAGCTTTTCCAAAAATGTACATTAGATTAGATTGTCCATGGCCCAATAAAATTTAAAAATTAGATTTTATCAGAATAGACATTCATAAAGTGTTTTCAAGAGAAGCCTAATTCAAGGAAGATACATTCTATTCAAGCAGAAAAAATATTTCTTTCCAACTTAACTGCTAATGAATCTGACTCTATTATTATCACTATTTTTAAAGTGTCAAGCGACCTCTGCAAATAGTCTTCCTGGTGGTTCTGAGTGAATCACTTGCTAGTAATGCTATTTAACATTTCCCATTGAAGAAGGGTCCACAAGACCATATGACTTGCTTAAAATCAGCCATAGTATATATCTTCGTATTGCAAGAAACCTCGCAGAATATGCCTGCTCTGCTGAGAAAGGCCTGTGTTTTGTAAATAACCTCCCTTAAGTCTGATCTGAAAGTGCTCGCTTCCTGATTTCATCAATAAGGTTACTATGTGACTTTAAAAAATTCCACTGCTCTAGGAAAACTTGTGTTTCCTTTTATGCCCAGATTTAGCAGGTTTTTCAAAGCCCTTCTTATTAAGAAAAGTTGTGGCTGGAAAAATGGATAAGTAGTTACAACTATTCCAGGAAGCTATAAATATTCTGGTTTAAGGCATTTAAGAAATTATCCTCTCCTTTATTGTCTCCCAGGGCCTACCTACAACCGGGTGCTGCCCTCCCAAAGTGAAGTGGATGGTCCTAAATGATCATAGGTGGGTTTTAAAAAATAAACACAAAATTAGTTTCACACCTACTTAGACAGCTTAGAATTTTAATGTGTAAAGTATGCCAGGACTCTGCAGTGAAATAAAGCTTTGCATTCAAACTGATGTCAGCCAATCGGAACACAGTAGAGAGTGCTGCCCATTTCATAATTAGGGAGCATTACTCCAAGTTCTAGATTTTACTTATTAATGAATAAAGCATTTCTTGACCCACTTTTGCCATTTATTCATAAGGACCTTGTTTTCAAAAAGTGTTAAAATAGCATGAAGGCCCTGATTTATGCCCACCAAATCCAGGAAATTCAAAGTTAATCCTCGGAACTATTTGTGTCTCGTCTTGCAGCAAACATTCTATATAAAACTAGGCTCTGTTAGAACAACACAGAAGAAAGAGTCCAGGGCAGATTTTCCTGCAGGTTTGACTTTTTCTGCTTCAATGCTTTATGTTGTATTTTAACGTATTTTTTATTTTATTTCTTTTTCTACCATAGCTTTACTTCATTCATGTTATTGCCTATCCCTGGATATACCCTTATATACCCATAGTCCTTCATCAGATACACAAGAACTGGTTACATTGACTGACCCAGAGTTCCATGGGGATGAAAACTTTCAAACTGCAGGAGATGGCAACAGTTAAAAGTGCTCCTCTTCTCTTCCCCAAACTCCTCTCTCTGGATGCCAGATGTGGAAGAAAGTTCTTAGTGAAAATAAAACAATATCAAAAACAATTGGAATATTATTCAGGAAAACAAAATTCCTGTTTCCCTCCCTGGAAATGCTCTCTGGCATTCTCTGTCTGTCAAACCTCTATACATCCTCCAAATACCACTTATATTCCACCATTTTAGGCAAATTATCCCTGCCTTTGGCTTCCAGTGTCTCCAAGTCTGACATGAGTGGGGAAGATTCAGGTCTCTGAGTTCTTCTCCAGTTCTGAGATGCTGTCTTTTTGTAACTTAGCAAGTACACAGTGATTTTCCAGCTCTGAACTGGATGAATATTCTTCTATCCCATTCATTTGCTACTTAACATTTGCTGACTTATACTAGTTCAATTGCCAGCCATGTCATATGCTGGGAGACCTTAAGCAATTTACTTAATCTCTAAGCCTCAGTTTCCTCATCTATAAAATGTGGGTCATAATGGTATGTGGCATTCATTATATTTGTTTCAAGAATTACAGCAGAGAACACATGTAAATAGCTTGCCACAGTGGCTGGCAATTAGTAAATGCTCAATAAATATCAGAGCCACGTCTAGCTGTTTTTTCTTGTATAAGTTCTTTGTCATCTCAAATGTGGTTACAAGCTACTTGAGGTTGAGAATGCATATGTTTGCTTGTATCCTCCGTCTTGCTTATTACAATGTCCTAAACATAATAGGAATTCAACAATGTTTTGTTGATCTCTTGATTGTTACAGTTTTCTGCCTGATTTTCAGTTATTAACCATCCGGTACCTAGTTTTTCTGTGAAGATATGACTTCTGCCAATTAAACTCTTAAAATAGTATGATAATGACCCATGACTGTCTTACTCCTTTTAGTGTTGCTATAAAGGAATACCTGAGGTTGGATAATTTATAAAGAAAAAAGGTTTATTTAGCTCACAGTTCTGCTGACTGGAAGATTCAAGAGTGGGCATCTGATGTGGCCTTCAGGCTGCTTCCACTCATGGCAAAGGTGAAGGGGAGCTAGCATGTGTGGAGATCACATGGTGAGAGAGGAAGCAAGAGAGAGGGAGGTGGGGTGCCAGACTCTTTGTAACAATTAGCTCTCATGGGAACTAACAGAACAAGAGCTCACTTACCCCCTATGCCCCTAGCTCCTGGGAGGGGATTGATCTATTCATGAGGGATCTGCCCCCATGACCCAAATACTTCCCATTAGGCTGCACCTCCAACATCCAGGATCAAATTTCAATGAAGTTTTGGTGGATAAACATCCAAACCATAGCAATGACAATATTCTAAATTGTTCACAATTCTACAGCTATGTAAATAATTTTGGAAGAGTAGCTTAAAAGCAAAAGCATACTAAAAACGGGCCCTGCCCTGCTCAGGTTTCACCCAAAACAGGCTGAACTAAACTGAAGCTCAAATCTGCCTCCTCGGAAACCCTTGTGTTCCTCCATTACAATGGACATTTCAGCAGATATGAGTGTATTTGTGTGTTCACTTTTCGTTTTTGAGAGAGGGAAATAAGGAAGGGATGGAAAGAGAATGAGAAGAAGACAGACACTTAAAGGAAAAAAGAAGGAAAAGGAGAGAAAGAAAGCAAAAAGTGAGAACAGAGAAAAAAGATGGAAGTCAGGGTGATCTGAAAGGGAAAGGGTAAGGGAGAAGGTCTTAAGAGGAAGAAATGGGGAGATATAGAGAGAAAAGGTTGATACAGAGAAAAAGGCTGTGGTTCTGAAGCTATAAAGAAAAGCCCATCTCCAATTCTAAATGTGCAGCCTGCCCATCTGACCTCAAAAACGTTAAGGGGAGGCAAGGGAATAACTTAAAAGAGGGTTTCACTCCGAAGCTGATATTTGGCCAGGGATATCTTTAACTTACTATTATTTAATGGAGATTGCTGTCATGAACAAAAGATGATGGGTTCTCACACCAAAGGAGCTGAATTAAATCATTATTTGTAGTCTGACTTTTTTGTAGGGGCCTTTTCACAATTCTGAGGAGCACGTTTGTGGAGCAGACGTATGTTTTTTAAAGATTTTTTTCCTACCAGGTGCTTTTTTTCTCCCTTCACACACCAAAAATGTCTGAAATTCCAAATGCTTTGAAAGAAAAAGACTGCTGCAATGACTTTCCTAGCTGGCTGGATAAGCTTCCAGAAGAACCAGCATTATTTCACAGGGAACTTTCAATAATCTACACCAACATCTTCTGGGTTGCTGAATAGTTTGCTTTTTGGCTGACTAAAGAATATAGTCCTCTTAACCAAACCATGGCCCCACTGGAAAAACCAATCAGACACCAGGTTTAAAACCCAAAAGTAACATGAATGGCCTTCTGTGAATTTGAGGCAAAAGGTGGTGTTGTTAAGAATGACCTGAACTTCCAGGCAGATCTGGGTATGTAGAAATTGATTAATGCACTGGAGTCTAATTCCACCTACATTTTGGGAAAACGTTCTACTTTGCATCTGCATGGGTAGCTTATCTCTGTGACTTCAAGGATTTTCTGTGAAGATTAAATCTGTTTTGTAGGGGAGACATTAGCAAAGATACCTATAAGATGTAATTTTCAAAGTAAGAACTATTAGGAGTGGGGATTTTGGGTTTTAACTGCAAATGTAATCAGCAAGCCTAGTGACGGCTGCTTCTCTGACAGGCGCTCAGATTTACTTGAATGCCTTAGCTCCCACAAGGGAAGAAATCATTTCCTGTGAATTCCAAGTCCTGCAGGTTACTGAAATGTAGCCATTTCCTAATCTTGTTAAGCACCCTCCCTGACTATCTCTGCAAGGGCCACATTCCTGTGCTGTGTAGCTGTGGACATCCCTGGCTCGTTTCCATGGAAGCACATAGCAGGAGACTCTTGTGCCTGGGTACTGGGCCAAGAACTTCTCACTCTTAGAAAACATATTTGGCCTCTAGAATTTCAGTGCTATTTGGAAACAGATACTTCAGTTTTTAAGGAGTACTCTTGTGAAGTGTGCAGCTATGTTATGATTTAAGTCATGCCCTATCACAAGATGGAAAAACAGAAAACTACAAGGGTTAGAAAGGTGGAATTTGTGTAAACCTTCCCATATGTGTTTTCATTGCATGACTGTGGAACATGTTGACATTGTGAAACCAAGACTATTTGAGACACTGTGGTGTCCTGAAGTCAGATGGCTTCAGTTTAATCACAACTCTACCACTTCTAGCTGTGTGAACTTGGGTAAGTTTCTCTTGTCTTCTCTGCATCTCAGTTTCCTCATTTGTATAATGGAGATTTTTTAAAAATCCTACTCTTAAGGTTGTTATAAGAATTAAATAATATCATGTATATAAGAGGCCTAACATAGAGGAAGCAGTCAATAAATAACTGTCTCATCTGATGCAAGGTCAAGGTGGTTAACAGACTTGGTAACAAAAGACAGTCGTTATGGGAACTAAAATTCATGTTTCCTAACTTGTTCAGTGGCCTGTTAAACTAAATCACCTCCCTACCAAGTGGCTCTTTTTCTCTGAAGATTTTTTTAAAAGTTAATTCTGTTGTCATGTTACAGTCAGTTGGCTAAAGAATGTAATATTTTCCCAGGACAGGAGTATTCTGATGCGCACATGTTAACTTGGGAAAGTTCATGTTTATTAAAAAAAAAAACAAAAACAAAAAGTTTTTGTCTGTCATCATTCTGCCCTTGCTTGCTCCTTGAATTTTTTAATCTAGCCCTAACAGGCCCATGGCTGTCTAGTTCCCTCACAAAATTTTGTCCTGATTCTCTTCCAGCCCTACTCCTCCTTCCGAGTTCAGCTCAACATTTTAACAGCACGTTCCTGATTAATCTCACCCTTACTTCCTCCAAAATGCATAAAATTTATGTCCTGTAAGAAACAATTTTACATATTTAATTATATCCTACTTATCATTCTCATTTGTTTGTATATTAATTTTGTCTCCAGCTAAATAATAAGTTCTTTGAGTGCAAAGACCATTTCCTATATTTCCCCCATAATTCCCAACCTAGCATTCAGCACAGAATCAGGTTCAATACATACTTTTATATGGTTTTATCACAATCACCATTTACCTTTACATCAACCACCTATACAGAGGACCCACAAATGAAGTTACAACATGGCAATATTTTGTTTGGTGCTTGATTCTCTAAGCGCTGCCTTTGACCTGCGGTTACTATCTATTACCATCACCAATAACAGGACTCAAGTGTGCTTCCCATTCCCCAGACCTGGCTTGGTGCTTCCTCCAGTTTGGTCCTCATGGGAAAGATATGTGGCAGCCAGACATATAACACGTGACTTTTATTGTAAGAAATAGAAAGAGTCAAAGGAGAACATGTGATTAAGGCCCCATGTAGATGCCTTGGAGCTCAACTTCAAATAATGTGATGAATCTGTAGAATTAAGAGCAGCAGCATGAGAAGGACAACTTAAAATACACATGAACTACATGGTGGTGTGGATGTTGGGGTGTGTTCATACTGAAGGGAAGTGAGCCATCATGCAGGCTATGCCATAAAGAGTGTGAGCCAAAAAAAAAACCCATAAAATTATTCAAAGATAATGACATTTAACATGTTGTACAAATGCTTCCAGTTTTGTTTCTAAGTAAACAGATACATTTCTTTTTTAGAAATTAGAATCAAAATATATGTAATGCATTTATGAATTTATACATCTATTTCAATTAATGATTTTTTTTCCTTTTTGTGGAGAACGGGGTCTCGCTATATTGTCCAGGCAGGTCTTGAACTCCTGGGCTCAAGCTATCCTCCCACCTCTGCCTCCCTAAAAGTTGGGATTACAGGCATGAGCCACTGTGCCCAGCCCAATTAATGATTTATCATGATTGTTTTTGTTATTCTATATTTTTCTACATGATTGCTGTTAATTGCTAGATAGTATTTCATTGTCAATAAATTTTCATAAATTTTCTACTTTATGCTATTATTAGCTATCTTGAGATGTCAATTTATAGCTAAAACCTTTATGTATCAATTATTATATCCTTAGAAGAAATGTTCTGCAGTGGAATTTCTGCTACCATCAATTCTTGCTCTCTTAACTCTGTATCTTTCCTCCACTCACTGGTCTGTTTCTGATCTTCTTTGTGCTGAGTATCTTCCATTTAACTCTTCAGACCCACTTCTTGGGCTGCTTCTGTGTCTCAGAAGGTGGATCTGCATGAACTTCATTAACAAACTCCCTGGCCCTCTTGCTTTTGTTTGGGTTTAGCCACTAAAGCATGATGCAAAGATTGGAGGATGGAGAGAGGACAGTGAAGTTGGGGTGCTGACTCTACTCCCCTGGAGCTCTGCCATTGGCTGGTTGATTCCTCTACTGAGCATCGCAGGTCCTGCCAGGAAGTTCTGTCCACCAGCTCCTCTCCCTTCTGTCTCCAGGTTCCAGCCATGGCTCCCTCCCTCACTCATCTGGTCTAGGGTAACAACAGAGCTCAATGTTAAGTGGCACCACGGTAGTGCACTATCCTTTGTGGGTTCTCTACTCTCTGTTCAAACCTTTGTACATAGTCCATTTATTAAAATTCCAAATTACCTAATTTGAGTGTGCCATCAGTTCATGGCCATGCCACTTATGCAGCCAGCCCCTTTACAGCAAATCCCTTCATATTGAGTTTTCATTACTTACTGTCACTTTCTCTCTTCTTTTTCTATCTTGAAAAACGTCCATCATGCTTCTGTCCTATCATAATCACAAAACAGCAATGCACCCCACATTGCTAAATCCGAAGTGCAGGCTTCAGTCCTCACCTTTCTTGAGCCATCAGCAGTATTTGGCCTTCCCTTCCTGAAACACCTTTTGGTCACTTCACTGCTAGAACATCATCTGTAGCTCTCCACTGTCCTTTGCTGGTTCTTCCTAATGTTCCTAACCTCTAACATTGCAGTGGTAGGTGCCCCAGGCTTCAGACCTCTTGTCTTCTCTATTTATACTTATTCTTGGTGATTTCCTTTCTTTCCATGGATTTAACTGTCATCTCTAAACCAACTACTTCCAAATGTATACATCAAGTTAGTACCTCTTCCCTAAACTCCAGACTCATATACCCAACTGCTTACTCAATATCTCAGCCAGAATTATCTCTACTTTCACAAATGTAGAACACTTGAATTGTTTTTACAATTCAAGGTAAACGTGTAAATGGAAATTTCATTCGTCTTGTATCTTAGGTCAAAAACTCAGGAGCCATCTCTCTTTCTCCCTTATCACATGTCCAATCTCTCAGGAGATCCTGTTGACTGACATCAAGATGGACAGAAATCCAATGGCTTCTCATCAACTCTCTACTGTCATTTCTCACCTAGATAAGAGAAAGACTTCTGAACTGGTCTCCTGATTTTTACATTTGCTTGTCTGCTCCTCCAACAGACTCTTTTCAGAGCAACCAGATTATGTTATCCATTTGTTCAAAACCCCAGTGGATTCTCATCTCATTCAGAATAATGCCAAGGTCTTTCCAATGACCTGCAAGGTCCCCAAAAATCTTGCTTCTTGGTATCTCTCTATTCTTATCTCACATCACTCTCCTCCTCACAGATTGTCCTTGCTAGCCTTTAAACACACCAAGCACACCTTTGCATGTATTGTTCCCTCTTCCTGGAATGTTTATAGAATGTTCTTCCACACAGTATTCAGAGATTACTTTCTAAATTTCTTTAAGTCTCTGTTTAAATATCATGCTACCAGAGGCTTGTCTTGAAAAGCACAAAACTAACTGCACCTGGCATTCCCTTAATCTGTTCCTGTTTTTATAGCAGTGATCACCACCTGATATATTTTATGTACATTTTTAATGCCCTTAAAGCCTTTTTCTTGTCCCTAGAATTAAGCTCATTGAGAGCAAGAGTGTGTTTGTACCTTACTATATCCTCAGTACTTAAAACTATGCCTAGCACCATCACAGGCACCTGGGAAACACATTTAATGAATAAACAAATGAATGAAAGGTTGTGTGTTGTGTATTTTTTTCCTTTTAAATGCTCATTATGGAATTGTAAAAACATATACAAATTACATAAAATTGTTTAATGCATTTTCACTTCAACAGTTATTAATATATGAACAATCTTGTTTTATTCTTCCTACCCTATTTCTCTCTACTCATGTCTTACTAGATAGTTTTAAAGCAAACCCCTGATGTCATTTCATCTGTAAATCATATGTATATTTTTAATTGTTCTCCAAAAATTTATGCAATTTATATTCACTATGAGCAGTGTTTAAGATGTCCATTTCCTTACCTCCTTCTTATACTAGTAGGTGTGATCATATAAAAATAATATTTGTCAAGTTTATTGGTAAAATTCATCTCATTTTATTTTTGAATTAAAAAGAACAGTGAGAAAAAAGAAAGTTCTTGAAGTGTGAGATAATATCCTCTTCTTTTACCTCTATGGCCTTTCACAATGCCAAGAAATGAATAAAAATTAAATTATATTAACTTGTATAATGGTAAGATTAGAGTTTTTTCTTAATCATCTCAGCACATATTACTAGAAGGAACATAAGAAACAACAATTTTTTAAAAAATCCCTTCTTTGATTGTAACTGGGTGAGAAGAGGGCCTGGTGTGAATAGAGAAATGGCTGAGAAAAAATAAGTCATATGTTCCTAGCCAGTATCTTTTTCAATTGGTCACCTCAATAGATAACCTTTTTTAAAAAAAACTTTCCAGAGACTTTGCCCAATCTTTGAAGCCATCCTCCAATGCCGGAGGAAGAAAGCCAGTCCAAGGTGCCCCTGGGCCTCTCTTCTGCTGTGGGACTGGAGACAGATTGCATCCTGGCAGGGCCAGGCTGGTCTGTGTTGGGAGGCTCAGGTTGGCGGTTCTGGCAGTTACACAGAACAGCTCTGTAGCTCTCTCTGGAGAAAGTCTTCTGTTCTCCTAAGTGTTAGCATATTAAGCCTCCAGCCACATGGAATAGGATGGGGAGGGGTTTGGAAAAGAAAATGTGAAGACAAATGGGGATTTTTAAAAGCAGAAAAGAAAATCTAGTGCTCAGAACAGCATTCTTTAACTTAGTCTAGCTATAAATTTTGTCTCTTGTTGATTTCCTGACTTGGAAAGAACCCATTAATGAAAGGAAAACACACACACACACACACACACACACACACACACACACACACAGAGGCTGGAAGCTCAACTGTGACTTTTTAAAATGGTAAACCTAGTACCATTCATACCTGTAAGATGTGAAAGGAAGATTTGAAAAAACCTCATTTTGTCATTTTACCAAAGGCCTTGAGCAACCTATTCAAAAGATACAAAAATAAATTTAAAATCTGGGTGGAGGCTGCAGAAGTGCTTCCCTTGCCTTTTTCTCCCGCTTGCTTTACCAGTGGAGCCTGAAGCTTCTCAGTTCATTGTCACGTTTACCTCCATCCTTTCTCTGCCAAGAATCTGATGGTTGAGTTTTCAGTTAGTTTGGGAGTAAGGTAGATCCTTGTTGTAACTTGCTGAGACTCATCCAACTAGATTTCTGGGAGGGAAATTGATTCCTTTTCCTCGCTGAGGGGTATAACAACAGGCCAACAATGTCTACGCTCCATGTAGATAGACACTCACTAGACCATGGATTGACCTCCTTATCAATCAATGTACAAATTAGTTGGAGGTGAAAAATGTAAGCAGAGGTCTGCAAGGAATAAGGTCTTCGTAGGCTGGTCCTTTCTGCAGATTCCTGGGAGGGCTTCTGATGTTTCCAAGCTGCTGCTTATCTGAGGCTCTTGACTTCCACAGTCCTGAAGGGCAGACCCAAGAAGAGGGGGCTTTCCCTAAGTGTTCCACAGACCCTCAGAAACTTCTAGCCGAAGCTCACATTCAAAGTCCTTAGACTAGTCTTCAGAGGTACCTGTGCAGAGTCTCTTAGGAACATAAATCTGAATAGCATCATAATTGATGGTCTCCTAGCCCTTCTTTCAGCACCCTAGACTTAGGCAGGAGGGACATTGCGCTACTAACTCTTCCTTGGCTGAAGATGAGTAGCCACAGTCCCCAAAAGAGTTATTTCCATGGCTTCTTGGTGATAAAGTGAGGGGAAGAATGAGCCCAGGATAACCCTCATATGTCAATTGGAGCTCCATGTTCTGTGTAAATGTCCTCTTTCTGGCATGTTTGTCCCTGACTGAGTGCCAATTTCCACTCTCTCACTCCTTTCAACCTCACTGTCTTCAATGCAACACCTTCCCACTCCTGAAGACTCATGTTTGATTTTGTCGCTAGTACTAGTTTACTATTATTAACCTTTTTATTTCATCTGCAGTGGCAAAATATAATTGTCATAACTTAACATGACCCATACAAATACACGATGAACATGTTCAAAGTGTATTCAACTCATTTATTAATGAGGGAACCAGTAGATATAAAGTTATTTCAAACAAAACATTTTGAGAAACTATTTATAGGCAATTTTAAAAATAATAATATTAGAGTAAGATTATTGTCCGTTTAAACACAAAACAACTTAGTGTCCTACCAGGCAATAAACTGTTGCTTATCTTTTTTACCACACAGAAACTATTCACATCTCTATTGAACAAAAACTACTAGTAAAGACATAACTCCACAGTGTATGTGCACTAATCAACAGTAAATGGCAAAGTCAAACAGTGGTACATCAGCCTACAAAATCAAATAATTTAAAGGTGTGCCTAAAATATACACTAAAAGATAATGCAGCTATCCTCTGGACCTTATTTATAGGTTTTAGATAATTTTTCTTTATAGCAGGAATGCAAGTCTAATACTATGCTGTTATTCCAATCTAGTTTATAAATTTCTGACAATATTTAAGAAGTCTCATTAGAATGCATTTGTCATTAGTTGAGGTATCAGTGCATCATATGTACTTGTTAGCAGAAAAGAAGAAGGAAAAATGTTTATCTGAAAGTATTTGCTAAAAGGCTCATCCATCATGCCAGGCACTAGGACTCATTAGCCGGAGCCCTCAGGGAAGATCATTAAGACAGAAAAGCTGAGTAATCAGGAACCATTGCTGATACGATCATGGCAAGGTAGAGATTGGGAAACTGATTTAAAAATTGAGATCAAGGAGCATGCAGAGTGGAAAGCCAGAAAGCAAAGCTTGAGGCTAGAGCAAGTCAGATGTCAATAGCCAAGATCTTAATGAGCTACAGGCCTCATAGGTCAGGACAGATGAGGTAGGCAGATGGACAGGGTCAGAGCACTCAGATAGCCTACATCAGGGGCACGCTTCCCAGAAAGCTTTGGCCTCAGATTACACTTGACACTCCCTATCTACCCACACTAGAAAGGTTGCCTAACCCTGGGGCAGAGGGCTCCATCCCAGGGTCAAATATTGCCCAGCTATGTGGGCTCTTCCACTGCTTCCATTGTTTAAAAACTAGAGATACCTTTCAACAGCAAAAAAAGTGTATCTATATATAAGAATATTTCTATATTCAAGGGGCTAAATGCCTCCAGATATTGATTTCTGATTTCTGAATCATTCCTAAGTTGTTATATCTTTGCCATTTAATGGCAAGATGTGTATTATTGATGTATCTCCCTGATATCAGGGAAAGTGTAATTCATATTATTGCATGAACAAGAATCCTAAATCTCTTTTGCCTGTAGTAAGTGAAGGTGATATGAAAATTAATCAGGGTAGGAAGGTATTATGAGGAGCAGAGATCTTTTGGAGTTTTGGAGTGACTATCCAGAACATAATCACTTTTCTGAGTATGGTATCCCTTTCTCCATACATAAGGGTTGACCCTGGCTGTCATGTTTATACTATATACACGCATTACTTTGACAAAGCTGGTTGAACCTGGGTAGTACCTGAAACAAGCTAGGTCAATCGATGGTTCTATCTTGAGAACTTGAAACTGGGATTCAGGTATGCAAACTCTGACACCATTGGAGAGTCATATATTATAACTTTATTGTATAATATGGTTGTCACTAGACACATGTGGCATTTTGAAGTTAAGTTTAAATTAATTAAAATTTTGAACCTTAGTTACCCCAGCCATATTTCAAGTGCTCAATAGACATATGTGGCTAGTGACCTACCATATTGAACAGAGCAAATGTGGAATAGAGCTAATTTTTCCCTCACTGTAGAAATTTTTTGGATAGCACCAACCTGTCACATGCTGGGAGTAGAGAAAGCCTGTAAGCAGGTACAGGGAAAGAAAGTAGATGTGCAGACAGAAGTAAAAACAAAAGACAAAGAAATGGTGGGATGTTGGCTGCCTCTACTATCTAGGCCCTTGTTCTAGCATTTAGGAAGACTCAATTTTTTCTTGCCTTTAAACTCCATGATACGTGTGTATATGTCCATTCAATAAATTCTCCTTTTTCACCTAAGCTAATTTGCTTAGAATTTTTTACTTGCAACTTAAAGGTGCAAGGTATGAAAACCAGCAGCAGGTTAAGATGATTTGAATCATTTTAGCGCTCCCTAATCTTGTTTCTCAAACACACTGTGGCACTGAAATACTCTGATAATTTTGCTATTTTCCCCTTTCTTTTCTTCTGCAACATTCATATTTATCTGTGGTAAAAATTCCAGAAAGCTACTGACCAGAAGGTATTAATCTTTAACTTTAAATCTCTGAATAATATAGTCTAGCTCATTTATACAACTTCTGGATACAGGTAAAGTGTGTTAAAGTGGGGCCTTAGGTAAAGAATTCATTACAGGATGGCTTTTTTAGTTTCTCTGTCCAAAAATGTACCACCAAAGTGCCTCACATGCAGTCAAGATGCATCAGAAACCTCAAGTTTATAACATACAAAATATTTCAGGAAAAGAGTACAGAGAGACAAATTTATATGACTTAGGAGCTGCCTCAGAAATATTTTGCTTTCACTTAGTGTTTTTTGCCAAAACTTTTTTGGAGAGAAAGCAGTGTATCTGCTGACGTCACTTTCAGACTCACAGGCTTGCAAAGCAAGAGTGATCTTGACCTCGGGCAGGCAAAATACCTTTGATCTTCACCAGCCACTGTAGCTGCCGAGATTATCTCAAATGCTAAACAGAGGAGAAAGCACGCCTGAAGCTATACTAACTCCACTACTTGCCATGTGCAATGATCCGTTACAGGGAAGGGGCTGCTGTGAAAAGTGATTAAAGTCTATGGGTGGCAGGAAAAGGAATGTATATCAGAAAAAGAAATGGTCTGCTACGTGAAATTCTGCCTACTGTCTAAGGGGGCTGGATGACCTTCATTGTATGGAGATGGGTTTGTGTTTGTAAGTTTAGGAGCAGGATCCAGAAATATAAAGGAGAGAAGAAATGGAATTAGAAAGTCTGGGTAATGAGGATAATCTAAGCAGAAAATAGAGTAAATATCAAGGCTGGATTCTGTAAAAGGGGTAGTCCAGAGAAAGAAAACTAACAAGCAAAGAAATCCAGTGTAGAAATGGCCCAGAAAAGACTTTAAGGAAGAGAAATGTCTCATACAGGCTTAATAATTGTTTCATGAGAGATGCTCAATGTAAATCTTCACTTTAACTTCTCCTCCATAAAACTGTAATAACACCTGCCCTTCCAAATAGCAAAGATCTCTCATGTTGAAAGTGATAAACAAGCATGACACATTTATGGGAGGTAGGCCAAAGATATATCTCTCAGTGCGAGGGTATTCTATGTCATTCTTTTCATAATCAATGCTTAACTTTTATTATAAGATGGTGGCCTCAAATAAACTTTATGAAGCTATTTAAATCTGAAAGAAAGTGACATTTCAGCCATCTTAAGTTGAAACTTCAGATTATTGCCCAAACAAGGTTAGTTGTTACTCAGATTTAACTAGAAACAATGAGAAAGGAGCAACTGTAATAAAAAAGTAACAATTACAATAGTTATTGCTTCAATTCACTATTTATTATATTCTTTGTACTATACTGATCTCTGTCTACCTATATAATCTCATCTAACTTTAAGAGCAAACTTAAACTCTTACAATAAACCTCCATTTTATAGATGATGTCACTGAAACCAGGCAGTTTAAGTAACTTGCTTAAGGTTAAACTCTAAGTAATAGAAGCAAAATTCGTATCCAGATACTCTAATCATGGCTGCAGCAAAAAATAGATGGCACTTACAAGTTGGAACTTGGAGAATTTAACAAATCTATGAGGAAGGTGCAAGGAAGCCACAAAATACTTCCAGGGCTAATTCCTGTGGAAATATATTACTATCCTGATACAAAGTTGCAGAGGAGGTGGTGGTTATCAGTGAACTGTGCAATGAAGACCATCTTTCGGAAGCTATGACCTTCTGTCTGGGACATGGTCAGCCCATGGTGACCACAGAAAGGAAGCTGGGGGCTTAGAACATGGAACACACACACCCTTCCCTCTTTCCACTGGTGCCCCCCACCCCATTGACAAAACTCAAGGGGAAGCCAATTCTTTTTATGAGCTTATTCTTTGGGGCTGTTGAATTTCACATCTGGGTCAATGGATTTAAAAAATTGAGAATTTAGGAGCCCAGAAACTAGGAGGCCCATGGAAATCTTGGGAGGCTTAGACTTCCCCAGGCTATGGAATTAGGGGTATAAGACTATTCTTTCTAGATACCAAGAGTCAGAGTCTAAATTTAATGTCTGGTTTGCATACAGGCAAAGAGTTTCCTTAGGTTTGAAGTTACATCCCTTGTTTGCTGAACTTGCTGTTGTTTAAAATGTATTAATATGTATCCCAGATAAGCAAACACTAAGAGAATTCACTACCAGTAGACTGGACCTAGAAGAAATGCTCAAAGGTATTCTAAACATGGAAATGAAAAGACAACACTTACCATCATAAAAATACACATAAGTAGAATACTCAGATTCTTTTGTTTTGTTTTCTCATAATTAATCATTCTGATTTGCAGCCTTACTTGTTTCAATCATTGAGATCCCATTTTAATGGGATTAACATTTTTTTTCCATTTATGGAACAGTGCTGGTCCCTAATTTTTGAGAACAGCCATAACCCTTGACTGGCCTTATTTAAATAAATTATAAGTTAATGTCCTTGAAATCAGAGTATCATTCAGGAGAACATGCTGTCAATCAGAGTAGAAAAAAGTAGGAAAGTGGGCCAGGCATGGTGGCTTACACCTGTAATACCAGCACTTTGGGAGGCCAAGGCACGTGGATCACCTGAGGTCAGGAGTTCGAGACCAGCCTGACCAAGATGGTGAAACCCTGTCTCTACTAAAAATACAAAAATTAGCTGGGCGTGGTGACAGGCGCCTGTAATCCCAGCTACTTGGGAGGCTAAGGCAGGAGAATTGCTTGAACCCGGGAGGTGGAGGTTGCAGTGAGCTGAGACTGCACCATTGCACTGTAGCCTGGGTGACAGAGTAACACTTCATCTAAAAAAAAAAAAAGTGGGAAAGCTCACAGATTCTATAAAACAATTAGGCAATTCAGAATCCGAGGCAACTAGCTAACAACATAATGACAGGAAAAACACCCTCAAATATCAATATTAACCTTGAACATAAATGGTCTAAATGCCCCACTTAAAAGATATGGACTGGCAAATCCTATAGATAGGATTTTTTAAAAAAGAAAATCTTCTGCTACAAGAGACCCATCTAATGGCTAAAGACACCTAATTCAAAGTAAAAGAATAAAAAAAGACATATCACACAAATTGAAAATAAAAGTGAGCAGAAGTGGCCGTTCTTATATGAGATAAAACAAACTTTAAGCCAATAACAGTAAAAAAAAAAAAAAAAAAAAAAAAAAAAAAAAAAAAAAAAAAAAGATGCAGAACAGTATACAATGATAAAGGGTTCAGTACATGAAGATTTAACTATCCTAAATGTATACACACCCAAAATCCAGATTCATAAAACAAATACTACTAGATCTAAGAAGAGAGATTGAAAGCAATACAATAATAGTGAAGGACTTCCCCACCCCAATGACAGTAATAGGCCATTAAGGCAGAAAGTCAGCAAAGAAATTCTGGACATAAACTGTACTATAGACCAAATAGTTCTAATAGACATTTATAGAATATTGTACGTAACAACTGTAGAATATATATCTTTTTTATCTGCACATGGAACATTCTGTAAAATTGACCACATGCTTGGCTATAAAGAAAATCTCAATAAATTCAAAAAAATCAAAATCATATTGATTATCTTCTCAGGCCGTAGTGGAATAAAATTAAAAATTAATACCAAGAGAAGCTCTAAAAACTACACAAGTACATGGAAACTAAACAAATTGTTCCTGAATGACTTTTGAGTAAACAACAAAATCAAGTCAGAAATTAAAAAAAATTAGAAATGAATGAAACTAGAGACACACTTACCAAAATGTCTGAGATACAGCAAAAGCAGTGCAAAGAGGAAAGGCCACAGTATTAAATGACTACATCAAAAAGACAGAAAGATCTAAAATTAAAAACCTATTGTCATGCCTCTATGAACAAGATAAACAAGAACGAACCAAACCCAAAGCTAGCATAAGACAAGAAATAAAAATCAGCACAGAGCTAAATGAGATTGAGACCAAAAAAAGGATACAAAGGATGAACAAAATGAAAAGCTGTCTCTTTGAAAGAATTAAAAATAAAAGAGAAATTTATAGACCACTAGCTAGTTTAACCAAGAAGAAACGAGAAAAAGCTAGGGCCAACATGGCTGACTAGAAGCAGCTAGTGTACACCGCTCCCACAGAGAGAATAAAAACTGGCACATAAACGCTAGATCTTCAACTGAAACATCCAGGTAGACATATTGGGATTCATCAAGAAAAGAACTTGACCCATAGAGAATGGAGAGGAGTGAGACAGGCTGACTACCCACCTGGAAGTGGCACAAAGCCAGGGCAGGCTTCCCTACTGTGGAGAAGTGTTGAGTGAGTGAGAGCCCTCAGGGACCCATACTTCTTCTGTGGACCTTTGCAACCCTGGGCTCAGTAGATCCCTTTGTGAGCCCATCCCACTGGTACCTTCAGACTGTCTCACGGAACTATATGAAGTCTGGGCAGGGCCACCACTAAGCCACATGCAGAGTCATGGGAGCCTTGGACCCCTGGGCATCCCAGCATTAGTGGCTACAGCTCCAGCAAGAGTGGAGGTCAGGCTCCCTCACACACTCCCAAGAAAGAGGCCAAATCCATGATCAGCAATGAACTTCAGGCCTCACCCCTACTGCACCTTACAGAATAAAGCCCACTAACCTGGGACTCCAACCACTCCCAACTAGGGTTCTCAGGCCAGTAGCAGCTATGCACGTTCCTGAGATGGAGCTCCAACAGGAAAAGGCAAACTTCCATTTTTTGCTGTCATTCAGCCCTCATTGCTGTTGCCTTCAGGTTCTGAAGGGTGCACGGTGACTAGGGACAGCTACGGATTCCCAGAGCAACACAACCACCCCCCAGAAAAGTGGCCAGGCTGTTTTTTAAGTGCTTCTCCTCACTGGGTGGGACCTCCCAACCCAAAACTCCAGCCACCCCTGACAGGGCTTTCCAGCTGGTAGCAGCCCTGCACTTCCCTAGGACCGAGCTCTAACAGGGAAAGGCAAGCTACAATTTCTGCTGTCTCACAATCTTTGTCATTGTTGCCTTCAGGCTCTGGAGGGTGCATGATGACTAAGGGCAGGTGTGGATTCCCAGCACAATGCAGCCATCCCACAGAAAAAGTGGCCAGACCACTTTCTACACAGGTCCCCAATCCACTTCTCCTTACTGGGTGGGGCCTCCTGACCTGGGACTCCAGCAAAACTACCCTACCCCCACTTGAACACATCAGTTGAAGATGGCTATGCAGTTCTCTGAGGAGGAAATCCCAGATACAATCCACAAGCCCTCACCATTGGAGCTGCAGTGGTACCACTCTAACTGCCCTCAGGCTGGGGAAGGAAAAAGGGCCTAGTCACTGCATTGTCACCTCCAGCACACTGCAGCCACCATATGGAGAGGAATCCAGTATCTCTTCCCTGTGAGTACCCCCATCCACCCTTCACCAGGCAGGACCCCCAGCTCATGACCACAGATCTGCCACCCCATCCATGACTGAGCACACCTACCAATAGTGGCTCTGAGTTTTCCTGGGGAGGGGTTCCCAGAGCCAACAAACAGCTCCTCTGCCATAATCACAGCAGCGATTGTGTCCCTGCTGCCACTGGGCTGGGGAAGATACAAAGAGCCTATGGACTTCACATGCACTCCTAGCATGCCATAGTCACCCTATGAGAGGAGCTAAGTCTCTCCTCCCTGTGAGCCCTTGACACTTTGCTCCTCAACAAGCAAAGCCCCCAGCTCAGGCCACCATTCAGGAGGCATTGCTATTGAACATTCCCAGTAGCAATGGCTCCACATTTCTCTGAGGTGGAGCTCCCAGAGGTAACTGAAAGCCCTTCTTCCACTGTTGCTGCAGCAGTACTTTCCTTGATGCCTTGGTACTGAGAAGGGGCAAAGACCCTGAGTGTTTTAACCATACCTCCAACAAGCTGCAGGTGCCCTAAGGAAAAGAGGCCAGTCTCTCCCTTATGATCCACATGCCCCATCATTTATTAACAAGAACCCCTGACCCAGCTTGGGTCCACAGTGCAGCCATCCCATACCAGGCTGATTGCACTGATTGACAGTGGCTCCACATCTCTCTGGTGTGGAGCCCTAAGAGACAAGTGAAAGGCTCTCTGACACCAATCTCTGCTAAGTTTCCTTCCCCTCTGCCTCAAGGTTGGAGAGAGAACATAAAGCCTGAGCTCATCCCAGAGCTGTGGTCAGGAATACAGCCCAGGAATGCCAAGCTGAGATCTGCAGCCAGCACTCAAGTGGGAGAAGAGCCCACACTTTCAGAGCACTAAGAGGGAGTACAGCTGCAATCATAAAGAAATGCAGAGGAGCCATGTGACTGAGCAAAAGCCTACCTACTGGCCATTTCACCTAAGTGTCACCTACTGGATCACAGATGAAAACTTCAACACCAAAAATACTTTGCTATACCCCAGTATGAAATCAAGGACAAGAATTCAGCTACAAAGACCCTGCACAAAGCCCTCTGAAAATATCCTGAAAAGAAGTCTACTGACTGTACTCAAATTACCCTGCAGTTAAAGGAACACCAGCTCACACAGATGACAAAGAACCAGTGCAAAAACTCTGGCAACTCAAAAAGCCAGAATGGCTTATTTTCTCCAAATGACCATGCTAGTTCCCTGGCAAGTGTTCTTAACTGGGCTAAAATGGCTGAAATTACAGAAATAAAATTCAGAAGATAGGAATAGAGATCATTGAGATACAGAAGAAAGTTGACACCTAACCTAAGGATTACAATGAAACAATACAAGAGCTGATAGATAAAATATCCATTATAAAAAAGAGAACCAAACTGATTTGATAGAGCTGAAAAACACACTACAAGAATTTCATAATGCAATTACAAGTATTAACAGCAGAATAGACCAAGTTGAGGAAGGAATCTCAGGGCTTGAACACTGGCTTTCTGAAATAACTCAGTCAGACAAAAATAAAGAAAAAAAGATAAACAAAACCTCTGAGAAATGTGGGATTATGTAAAGAGAAATAAAACTATGACTCATTGGTGTCCCTGAAAGAGACAGGAGAAAGCAAGCAATTTACAAAACATATTTCAGGATATCATCCATGAAAACTTCACCAACCTTGCTACAGAGGTCAACATTCAAATTCAGAAAATGCAGAGAACCCCTGCCAGATACTACAGAAGATGGCCATCCCCAAGACACATAATCATCAGATTTGCCAAAGTCAAAATAAAAAATGTTAAAGGCAGCTAAAGAGAAAGGACAGGTCATCTAAAAGGGGAACCTCATCAGGCTAACAGCAGACCTTTCAGAAGAAACTATACAAGCCATAAGAAATTGGGGGCCTATATTTAACATTCTTAAAATAACTTCCAACCCAAAATTTCACATCCAGCTAAACTAAGCTTCATAAGTGAAAGAGAAAGAAGATCTTTTTCAGACAAGCAGATGATGAGGGAATTCATTATCACCTGACTTGCCTTACAAGAAGTCCTGAAAGGAGCACTAAATATGGAAAGACCATTACCAGCCACTATAAAAACACAAAGCTGGCACGGTGGCTCATGCCTGTAATCCTGGCACTTTGGGAGGCTGAGGCAGGTGGATCATCTGAGGTCGGGAATTCGAGACCAGCCTGACCAACATGGAGAAACCCCATCTCTATTAAAAAGACAAAAATCAGCTGGGTGTGGTGGCCGGCACCTGTAATCCCAGCTACTCAGGAGGCTGAGGCAGGAGAATTGCTTGAACCCAGGAGGTGAGCAGAGATTGCACCATTTCCCTCCAGCCTGGTCAAAAAGAGCAAAACTCCATCTCAAAAAAAAAAAAAAAACAAAACCACACACACACACTTAAGTACACAGGCCAGTGAAAGTATAAACCAACCACACAAACAAGTCTGCATAATAACCAGCTAATGAGCTAATGACACAATGACAGGATCAAATCCACACATATCATTACTAACCTTGAATGTAAATGGGCTACATGTCCCATTTAAAAGGCACAGAGTGGCAAGCTGGATAAAGAACCAAGACCTAATGGTACACTGTCTTCAGGAGACCCAACTCACATGTAATGACACCTATAGGCTCAAAATAAAGGGATGGGGGAAATCTACCAAGCAAATGAATAACAGAAAAAAGCAGAGATTGCTATCCTAATTTCAGAAAAAACAGACTTTAAACCAGCAAACATCAAAAAAGACAAAGAAGGGCATTACATATTGGTAAAGAGATCAATTCAACAAGAAGATCTAACTATCCAAAATATATATGCACCCAACACAGGAGCACCCAAATAAATAATGCAAGCTCTTAGAGACTTTTAAAGAGACTTAGATTCCCACACATTAATAGTGGGACATATCAACATCCCACTGACAGTATTAGAAAGATCATCTAAGCAGAAAATTAACAAAGATATGCAGGACCTGAACTCAACACTTGACCAAATAGACCTAATAAACATCCACAGAACTCTCCATCTAAAAACAACAGAATATACATTCTTCCCATTACCACATTGCACATACTCTAATATTGACCATACAATTTAACATAAAACAATTTTCAGCAAATTAAAAAAAAAAAACCCAAATCATACCAACAACACTCTCGGGCCACAATATAATAAAATTACAAATCAACACTAAGAAAATCACTCAAAACCATACAATTACATGGAAATTAAACAACCTGCTCCTGAATGACTTTTAGGTAAATAATGAAATTAAGGCAGAAATCAAGATCATTGAAATTAATGAGAACAAAGATACAACATACAAGAATCTCTGAGACACAGCTAAGGCCATGATAAGAGGGAAGTTTATAGTACTAAATGCCCATATCAAAAAGTCAGATCTCAAATTAAAAACCTAATATCACAATGAGAGGAACTAAGAAGCAAGAGCAAACCAACCACAAAGTCAGCAAAAGACAAGAAATATCCAAAATCAGAGCTGAACTGAAGGAAATTGAGACACCAAAAATACAAAAGGTCACCAAATCCAGCTGTTTCTTTGAAAAAAATTTAAAAGATAGACTAATGAAGTAAAAAACAGAGAAGATCTAAATACACACAATTAGAAATGACAAAGGAGCCCTTAAAATTGACCCCAGAGAAATAAAAAAACACTCAGAAACTAAGATGAACACTTTTATGTGCACAAACTAGAAAACCTACAAGAAATTGATAAATTTCTAGACAATACAATACCCCAATACCGAACGAGGCAGAAATTGAATCCCTGAGCAGACTAATAATGAGTTCCAAAATTGAATCAGTAATAAAATAAGTCTACCAACCACAAAAAGCCCAGTGCCAGACTCACAGCCAAATTCTATCAGCTGTACAGAGAAGAGCTGTTATTGATCCTAATGAAACTATTCCAAGAAATTGAGAAGGAGGGACTGCTTCCCACCTTGTTCTGTGAGGCCACTGTCATCCTGATACCAAAACCTGGCAGAGACACAACAACAATAAAAGAAAACTTCAGGCCAATATTCCTGATGAACATAGATGCAAAAATTTCAACAAAATACTAGCAAACCAAATCCTGCAGTACATCAAAAAGCTAATCCACCTCGATCCATATAGGCTTCATTCATGGGATGCAATGTTGGTTCAACATACAAAAATCAATCAATGTGACTCATCACATAAACAGAACTAAAGACAAAAACCACATGATCACCTCAATAGATGTAGAAAAGGCTTTTAATAAACTTAACATCACTTCATGTTAAAAACCCTCAGTAAACTAGTCATTGAAGAAACATACTTCAAAATAATAAGAGCCATCTATGATAAACCCACAGCCAACATCATACTGAATGGTGAAAGTTGGAAGCATTGTCCTTTAAAGCCACCACAAAACAACGATACCCTCTCTCACCACTCCTATTCATCATAGTACTGGAAGTCCTACCCAAAGCAACCAGGCAAGAAAATGAAATAAAAGGCATCCAAATAGGAAGAGATGAAGTCAAACTATCCCTGTTTGCAGATGACATGATTCTATACCTAGAAAACTCCAGAGTCTCTGCCCAAAAGCTCCTTGATCTGATAAACACCTTCAGCAAAGTTTCTGGGTACAAAATCAATGTACAAAACTCACTAGCATTTCTAACATGAAAAACATGCAAGCTGAGAGCCAAATCAGGAACACAATACCATTCACAATTGCCACAGAAAAATAAAATACCTAGGAATACAGCTAACCAGGGAGGTGAAAGATCTCTACAACAAGAATTATAAAACACTGCTCAAAGAAATCAGACATGACAAAAACAAATGGAAGAACATTCCATCCTCATGAATGGGAAGAATCAATATCATTAAAATGGCCGTAGTCCCAAAGCAGTTTAATGATTCAATGGTATTTTTATCAAACTACCAAAGACATTCTTCACAGAATTAGAAAAAAAAGCAATTTTCAAATTCACATGGAACCAAAAAAGAGCCCAAATAACCAAAGCAATCCTAAGCAAAAAGAACAAAGCTGGAAGCATCACGTTACTCAACTTCAAACTATTCTATAAGGCTACAGAAACCCAAACAGCATGGTATTGGTAAAACAAACAAACAAACAAACACATAGACCAATGGAACAGAATAGAGAACACAGAAACAAAGCCACACACCTAAAACCATCTGATCTTTGACAAAGGCAACAAAAACAAGAAATAGGGAAAGAACTCCTTATTCAATAAATGGTGCTGAGATCACTGGCAAACCATATGCAAAAGATTGAAACTGGACCCTTTCCTTACACCATATACAGAAATCAAATCAAGATGGATTAAAGACCTAAATATAAAATGCAAAATTATTTTTAAAACCCTAGAAAAAAACTACAAAATATCATTCTGGATATAAAGCCTGGAAAATATTTCGTGATGAAGATGCCAAAAGCAATTGTAACCAAAACAAAAATTGACAAATGGGGCCTAATTAAACTATAGAGCTTCTGCACAGCAAAAGAAACTACTAACAGAGTAAAGAGACAACCTACAGTATGAGAGAAAATATTTGCAAACCATGCATCCAACAAAGGTTTAATACCAGAATCTATAGAAAACTTAAATTTACAAGCATAAAACAAACAACTCCATTAAAAAGTATGCAAAGGACATGAACACTTTTCAAAAGAAAACATACAAGCAGCCAAGAAACATATGCAAAAAATGCTCAACCTCACTAATCATTACAGAAGTGCAAATCAAAACCACAATGAGATGTCATCTCACACCAGTCAGAATGGTTGTTATAAAAAAAGTCAAACAATAACAGATGCTGGCAAAGTGGCAGAGAAAAGGGAACACTTATATACTGCTGATGGGTATGTAAATTAGTTCAGCCATTGTGGAAAGCAGTGTGGTGATTTCTCAAAGAACTTAAAACAGAATTACCAGTCAACCCAGCAATTACATTACTGGGTATATTCCCAAAGGAATATAATATAGTCTATTATAAAGACACATGCATGAATATGTTTATTGCAACACTATTCACATTAGAAAAGACATGGAATCAATCTAAATACCCATCAATGGTAGACTGGATAAAGAAAATGTGGTACATTTACATCGTGGAATATCATAAAACCATAAAAATATGGGACCATGTCCTTTGCAGCAACATGGATGGAGCTAGAGACTGTTATCCTAAGCAAACAAATGCAGGAACTAAAACCAAATACTATTATGTTCTCACTTATAAGTGGAGCTAAACAATGATACCACTGGACACAAATAGGGGAACTGCAGACACTAGGGCTTACTTGAAGGTGGAGGTTAGGTGGAGGGAGAGGATAAAAGAAATACCTATCAGGTACTATGCTTATTACCTGGCTAACTAATGTGCACACCAAACTCCCACAACACACGATTTACCTATATAACAAACCTGAACATGTAAAAACAATAGCTTACCAATCTTACTGAAACTATTGCAAACAATCAAGGAGGAGGGATTTCTCTATAACTCATTCTACAAAATCAGTATCAGCTTGATACCAAAATCAGCCAAGGACACAACAAAAAAGAAAACTCACAGGCCAATATTTCTGAAGATCATAGATGCAAAAATACTAGCAAACAAAATAGTAGCAAACTGAATCCAAAAGCACATCAAAAAGATAGTTTATGACACTCGAGTGGGTTTTATGCCAGGGATGCAAGGATGGTTCAACATTCTAAAATCAATAAATATGATTCACACATAAAGAGTATTTTAAAAAACCATATGATCTTCTTAATAGATGCAGAAAAGTCATTTGATAAAATCCAGCATCACTTTATGATAAAAAATCCTTAACAAACTAGGCATTGAAAGAACATATCTCAAAATAATAGGAGCCACCTATGACAGATACACAGCCAACATCATAATGAACAGGGAAAAGTTGAAAGCATTCCCCCTAAGAACTGGAAAAAGACAAAGTGTCCACTTTTACCACTCCTTTTCATCATAGTACCGGAAGTCCTAGCCAGAATAATCAGGGAAGAGAAAGAAATAAAAGGCATCCAAATTGGAAAAGAGAAATCAGATTATTCTTGTTCACTGATAACATGATCTTATGCCTGGGAAACCCAACAGACTCCTCCCAAAACTCCTGGACTTGATAATGACTTCAATAAAGTTTCAAGATATAAAATGGATGAACAAAAATGTATGGCATTTCTGTACATCAATAACATTCAAACTGAGAACTAAATCAAGAACACAATCCCATGTACAATAGCCACAAAAATACTAGAAGTGCATTTAAGCAAGAAAGTAAAAGATATCTACAAAGAGAACCACAAAACACTGATTTTTAAAAAATCATAGATGACACAAATGGGAAAGCATTCCATGGTCAAGGGTTAGAAGAATCAATACTATTAAAATGGTCATACTGCCCAAAGCAATCTACAGATCCAATGCAATTCCTATCACACTACCAACATTTTTCACAGAATTAAAAAAATAATCCTGAAGTTCACATGGAAACAAAAAATAGCCCGAATAGCCAAAGCAATCCTAAGCAAAAAGTACAAAGCTGGAGGCATCACATTACCTGACTTCAAATTATACTACAAGGCCATAGTAACTAAAACAGCATGGTACTGGTACAGAAATAGACACATAGGCCCATGGAACAAATAGATAACACAAAAATAAAGCCAAAAAACCTACAACCGATTTTTGACAAGGTTGATAAAAATTTAAAATGGAGAAAGGACATTCTATTCAATAAATATTTCTGGGAAAATTGGCTAGCCACATGCAGAAGAATGAAACTAGACTCTTATTTCTCACCATATAAAAAAATTAACTCAAGATAGATTAAAGACTTGAATTTAAGACCTAAAACTAAAAATGTCCTAGAAGAAAATGTAGGAAAAACTCTTCTGGACATTGGCCTAGGCAAAGAATTTATGACTAAGACTCCAAAAGCAAATCTGACAAAAACAAAAATAGACAAATAGGACTTAAAAATTTCTGCACAGCAGAATAAAAAATCAAAATCATAAACAGACAACATACAGCACTATCCATTATAGCAAAGACATGGAATCAACCTAAATGCCCATCAACAGTAGGCTGGATATGGTAAACCGAAGTTCCCA
Organism: Homo sapiens; assembly: GCF_000001405.40. Classification (NCBI taxonomy): domain Eukaryota; kingdom Metazoa; phylum Chordata; class Mammalia; order Primates; family Hominidae; genus Homo; species Homo sapiens. Next base: position 79,728,043 of record NC_000013.11, on the reverse strand, counting down.
TGAGAGAAAATATTTACAAATTATACATCCAAAAAAGGCGTACTATGCAGAATCTACAAGGAATTCAGGCAACTCAATGAGAAAAAAACAAACGAACTCATTAAAAATTGGGTAAAAGGGCTCACGCCTGTAATCTCAGCACTTCGGGAGGCCAAGGCTGGCGGATCACAAGGTCAGGAGTTCAAGACTAACCTGGCCAACATAATGAAACCCCATCTCTACTAAAAATACAAAAATTAGCTGGGTGTGGTGGCATGCACCTGTGGTCCCAGCTACTCGGGAGGCTGAGGCAGGAGAATCACTCGAACCCCGGAGGTGGAGGTTGTAGTGAGCTGAGACCACACCATTGCACTCCAGCCTGAGTGACAGTGAGACTCTGTCTCAAAAAATATATAATATAATAAAATACATAAATTGGGCAAAGACATTTCTCAAAAGAAGACATACAAGTGGCCAATAAACATCTGAGAAAATGCTCAACATCACTAATCATGATAGAATTGCAAATTAAAACCATGAGATATCATCTTATGCCAGTCAGAATGGCTATAATTAAAAAGTAAAAAAACAACAGATGTTGATGTGGATGCAGAGAAAATAAAGGTATGTTTATACACTGTTGGTGGGAATGTAAACACAACCTCTATGGAAAATAAATCTGGATATTTCTCATATAACTAAAAATAGAACTTCCATTTGATCCAGCAAAAACATATGTCACACTATAGCAGAACTGAGTGTACATATCTCAGATGGGATAAAGTCTTATCTCAACAACTGGTGCTGCAAGAGTCTCCCCAGCTTTTCCCAACAGATTCAGAAATGTGAGATATTCAAGCTATACCTTGGGCTCTCTTACAGGCTCTCCTACTTTTCCTTGCTTGTGTTTGAGCCCTTTCTCTTCCCAAGTCTCTCCTGAGGATTTTCTCTTCACCTATTCAGTAAGAGATCATGGGAAAGACTCTCTAGACAAAATAGGGCCCACTCTCCCAGCCAGCAAGGTGACAAAAGGGAACTTGAGTTTAAGTCTCTTCCGCTTGCTCTAGGCCAGAAGTTCCTAATGCTAAAACATGAACTAGTGGTGGTCCATCATGAAGTTCCCAGAGTCCTTAGAAAAATAAGAAAAATGAAGATAATGTGATTTTTTCCAGAAAGTGAGATATATTGAATTTTAATTCTAATAAAAATTATTAAAGAACAATGTGAAACAGTTATTATTTTTGTTGATTTTCTTAACATTCTTACTTGAAAAAATGAAATACTTTTAAACTCCATACCCCAATTTTCAAAAATTTACTAGATGATAAAGTTCCAAAATCTAGAAATCACTTTTCCAGATATGAAATTCTAGTTTTCCAACCCCTCACGGCATCTACTGGCCATCTCCTATATTCATGACTATGGTATTTTGGCAGATGTGCTATCAGAAATAAAGAGCAAAATTATGTCCTATATGGCAGCTGGCAAGAGAGCGTGTGCAGGGGAACTCCCTTATATAAAACCATCAGATCTCGTGAGACTTATTCACTATCATGAGAATGGCATGGGAAAAACCCAGCCCCATGATTCAATTACCACCCACTGGGTCCCTCCCACGACACATGGGGATTATTACAATTTAAGGTGAGATTTGGGTGGTGCCACAGAGCCAAACCATATCACCCATACTGCATCTCTTTTCACATTCAGATACTATAAAGACAGCTATCAATTATAAACACAAAGAAAGGAGACCACATGTATATTATTTAAAAGCAGTGTCCAATCCCATGTCTTCTGACACTGGCTCAGGTAGTGAGGGAAGGCAAGAAACCTGGGGAGGCAGGAACAATCTCAGGACCAAAGTCAGGGAGCCAGAGGAAATGAGATTTGGTAGGAAGAGGAGTAGTCTCAGAAGCCACAATGTGGCCATTTTATTGTTATACAAAGCAGACTACACCAGCTAACATTGCAAGGAGAAATAATGTAAATGTAATTAAATGTAATAAAACACATGTTCTTCAGCTTTATTTAATCATTGATTTCATCATGTCTAGTTCCTGCCAGATAGCTCTCAGGGAATGCACAAGGAACTCTTTTCAGTCCCCAAGAAACTTAAAATATGTTGCAAAAGAAACAAAAATAATTAGCGTAAGAGAATGTACTAGTACAACAACATAATAAAGACAAAAGTAAATTAAATTCAAAAAAGAAAAATAGTAATGCATATTGGAATGGTTAATTTCAGGAGGTAGATAGTAATTATAAAGATAACACATATGGAGAACCAGCGAACAAGCCAGCATCTCTAGATGGAAGAATCAGGATGGGGGGCAGGAGGATGGCATCTAAACTTGTTAGAAGAACAAGTTTAGAAACTTGATAGAAGAACCTGGATGTAAGGCAAAAAATCAAAGCATCTCCTCCTCTTTTATTAGTTCCTTTTAGAATATTCTCCTACTGCTAATTCCAATCTCTCTCTTCCTAATTCTACTGAACTTACTCCTCCCTAAAAAATAAAAATAAATAAAATAAATTACCAGACTGTGAACAGTCATTCCAGGCTTATGGATTGAACCTTGTCATTACAAAGATGTGCTGGCTCAAGTAAGCAAATGCATTCTGGAGGGTCTGCAGGGCTGGCAAGGAATTGGGATCCCAGCAGTTCTTCAGCCAAATGAACATTACACGATTTATATTTGTCTTAGCAATTCCTGGATTTCTACTATCTTTAATCTGCTGAACCATAATTGGGATTTTTAAAAGGGAATTTAGGTCATGTGAAGAAATTATCATTCTTATAAAATTCATTTTAACTAGATATTTTAGAAGATTGTGTTCCTTGCAACACATCTTTAATCAATTACAAGCCTACTAGTACTTAACTCATACTCATCTCCAGTTTTACCTGTGAATTTTGATTAGACTTTCTGGGCATTTCAAAGCCCATATAATCAAAGGGGATAACAAATTATGAACATCTAGTCTTATTTACTACTTTCCTGTCACTCCTATAATAATTTTTGGTTTCAGTCTTCAACGTCTAGGATAATTGTTCAATAATTTCCCCCTTCTTTCTAGTACATTTAGAGTTCATTCTGAGTGCACGCTATTCCCTCCCCCCTTTAAGGAATAACAAGAATGTTCATATCTTGTTTTAACAAGTGGATGATCTGCCTCAGCTTCAGAGTCAGAACTTCACACTATTAAAAGGAGAGCTTTATGTTTAACTTTTTGCCCTGTGAGAAAAGCAGGATATGTCAAGCCTCTACTTAAGTTTTTTTCTTTTGTCCTTATGAGTCCTCTCATGAGCTAATTTCTTTCATAGACTATATAAGCCCTTAAAGAGCAGCACTGTTCCCTGACAAACACACTGGCATGCAGTTAATCATTAATTTTGCAAGGTCCACATCTGCTGTCTTCTGGACTCTATATTGTTTGAGAGATTTCCTCCCATTCCTGTAAATGTAATTGTGTGAGGGCTAATGTTGGATCTTTATCTAACCTATTATCAGCAGTCCAGACAGAGTCTTAGAACCTTCCTTTAACAAGTCCAAGTTAGAGTTCACAAAGCTTAAACCTACATGAATAGAGTAGTATTTTTTTAATGGCAAAACAACAGCTGCAGGGGCTGATTCAATGACACGCCCTGGCTGAGTATGTGCAGATACTAAAAACAGGTGCAACTCATGACTGTTGTGCTGTGTGCCTTTTTAAAATATTACATGCATTTCTTCATCAGATCAAGGTTTATATAAAGTATGTTTTAGAGGGGCATAAAGGAATTCAGAAACATGGTCAGCTGAAATACTAAGGCTTTTAAAAAACAATAAAGGTAGAACAAATTAGAGTTATGTTAATGCTGGTAAGCGTACTACCTCATGAAAATCCAAGAATCCAGCCATCTGCATAATAAAAATGCCTTTTAAATGGCAAGCAAATTAAATTATAATATCTTTTTTTTCTTTCTTGGACTTGATCTGGGGTTCCAGCTTCATACCACTTGGGGAAAAGTTGAAATTAGGCTTTGTGTGGGTGGAGGAGAGGCAGAATTGAATGTGATCCTGTGCAAATAATCTCTTCCAGCCTTGCTGTAGGGTGGGACATGAAGACTGGAAAGAGTGAGGCTCCAAACCCCTGGCGTAGAGGCAACACCTTCTGTGGCCATGCTGCCAGGAAGGCTCCAAAGGGAGTGCCCAATAAATGTCAGTGTTGTGTGGCTATTTCAACTTTAAAGTAACTTGCACAAGTTCACTTGAAATTAACACTGCAGTCATACAGAAGGGGGAAAGGAGTGTGTGTTGTTTCCAGACATAATTGAGATTGAACTCTAACCAATTCAGAAACAAGCGTTACTTTCCGCAGCTCTAGAGAAGCCAGCTTCCCTCTGCCAGAAGGGAAGTATTGCAATCGTCATGAACACAAAGCGTTCTGTATGCAGCTTGCAGAGAGAAGCAGCCCTGTCATTCAGGCTGGCCATTCATCTTTGTGTGTCCTTACGGCAGAGGTAGTGTGAAAAGGAGTTTACTCCCCTTAAAACACGAGTGGTGCTTCTGGGGTCTGCAGAGCCTCCCACATCAGCTGTGTTTGAGGCATTCCTGACATGGAAAAGAGCCCAAAGATCACTTTCAACCTGCTACATAATCATCATTAATGCTGGCCCCTTCCCAAGAGCTCTGAGCATTTACCTGCCTCATACAGAGCCCTACTTTTCCCCAGGTTTCATAGTGAGGTCAACAGGGGCCCATTGAGGAAATCAGAAACAACCTCAAGAGACATTATTCAGACCCACCAGAACTCCTGACATGTGAAAGCTCTCCTTGGAGGCCTGCCACTGCCTGAAGAAACAGCCTAGATTTGGAGACTGAGAATACTCAAGTTATGTAAAGGTTGAATAAAAATAACAATTCTGATGCTACTTTTTTATTATAGAAGCTTCACATTTCATCTCTTGCAAGTAAGCTCCTGAGATGGGAGGGAGACTGTATTGCTGACTCACTAGCTTCTGCACCTCTTGGGTTTCTATCTTTAGTGGAGAGCCTGGTCTTTGACATGGAGTTAAGTAAGATATAACAAATGAGTGGAGCAGTCACTGAAATAAGTTTGTTAGGCATAATGGTAACGTTTTGAAACTATGACAATTCTTAATGACATAGTTTTTTGTTAAGTAAAATTTTGGAGTTGCAAGCAATGGAGTGAAGGACTTTGGTTATTTCAATAATAAAAGAACCCTCCTTCCAACTATGTTAGCAAGAGGAAGAACTGAAGGTTTACTAGTAAATGCAATTGTCAAAAACATAATCAGTGCAAACTCAAATGTTCTAAATGTCTTTAGCTAAAATGTGTAAATAACTTATAAAACATAAATACAGATAGAGGCAGGTAACAGCGGAATCATGTTCATTTGTCAGAAGAGCAGCAGTGAGAAGTTGGGTTGGGACTGACACATGAAGCATGAAGGCCTCCTTGGTTTACCTGAGGGAAAGAAGTTGTCAGAAGCAAGTCAACTGTCACAAGGCTGAGAGTAAGAGAGTCCAAGCAGTATAGTAACAACAAAGAACATGGACTTTTTCATCAGACTGATTTGCAATTCAAACCTGGCTTTGCCACTGGGATCCCTGAGCATATATTGTCTAAACTCTAAATCTTATTTCTTTAATTTAGAACTATCTGTGGCCATGTTGTGCTGACTAAACGAAACAGTGGATACCTAAAAGATATGAGCTAAAGTCTCAAAACCAGGAAGACAAATCAAAGATGAGCATATATGCTTAGAAACAGGTCAACAACTAAGAACCAAGAAGTTAAGGCAGTATAGTGACAAACAACAAGGTGTAATTTTCCAGAAGCCAGAAAAGTATCCAAACAGCTAGAGACCAAGAAGTGGACCTAGTGATCAAGACATACAACAATTCAAAATCTTGGAGATGAAGTAAAGAAAAACAATTAGATCCAAGGCTAAAATGTCACAGTAAGCAAACCTTGCCTCATCTGCATCCCAACAGGGCCGAAAGTGATTTGAAGTGACAATTGAATTTAGTCTATGTAGCTTCTGTAACCAGTGGGACAAAAGGGAACACAGCAATATAGATAAAGGGCAAATAACAGGAATAGCACATTTTGGAACACACTGGCCATTAAAACAGCATGGGTGAAAAATAAAGCATCCACAGGAAATAGAAATCAAGGTTCCAAAGAAGACAATGTTGTAATTGTATCACATTCATGCATGGCATGGTCTCACAGATATGTGTTCTGTGAAAGAGAAGGTACCTAGACATTCACTTGCTGAGAAGAGTTCTAGAAGAGGAACTATAGACACTTTTAAAATAGTAAATATTTTCAATATTTGTACTTTTTAGGTATTTCTGCCATATTTTAAACATGTATATCAGTTGTCATTCACTCCATAAGCTGATGTCATCCAATCTTATGGCTTTATATTAATTTTTATTGCTGCTGTAACAAATTACTACAAACTTACTGGTTTATATCAACATAAATTTGTTATCTTACAGTTCTGAGGGTCAGAAGACTTACTGGGCTAAAATCCAGGTGTTAGCAGGCTAGGTTCCTAGTGGATGCTCTAGGAGAGAAGCTGTTTTCTTGCCTTTTCTATCTTCTAGAGGCTGCCTGCATTCCTTGGCTCATAGTTCCTTCCTCCATCCTCACTGCCAGCAGTGTAGCATCTTCAAGTCTCTCTCTCTCTTTCCTGCCCGGCCCCAACCCCACACTGACCCTTCTGCCTTCCCCTTATAAGAACCCTTGTGATTAATTCAGGATAATAATCCCATCACATAATATTTAACTTAATCACATTGGCAAAGTCCCTTTTGCCACATAAGATAATATAATCACAGATTTCGGGAACCAGGAAATAGATATCTTTGGATGCTATTATTCTGCCTATCACAACCTTAAGTAACATATACTTTGACAACTCTCAAATTTCTATCTCAAGCATAGACCTCACCCTTGAACTTCAGCCTCAGTTTTCCAATAGCTTATTCCACATCTCTACCTAGATTTCTAACTAGTGCCTCAAACTCAGACTGTCCAAAGTTAAATTACTGAATTATACTCAACACCCTAAATGCAGCAAAACCTGTCATTCTTGCAACTTTCTGCTTCATAATCCATGGCAAGTATTGTCATATGCCACAGAATGACATTTTGGTGAACAACAGAAATTTACATTGGCGGTCCAAATAAGATTATAATACTGTATTTTATTGGGCCCCTTCATTATGTAGATATGTTTAGATACACAAATACTTAACCATTGTGTTACAGCTGCTAACAGTATGCAGTCCAGTTACAAGCTATGTAGGTTTGTAGCCTAAGAGCAATAGGTGTGTGGCCTAGGTGTGTAGTAAGCTATACTACCTAGGTTTGCGTAAGTACACTCTATGATGTTCCCATAATGATGAAGTTGCCTAATGTTGCATTGTTTAGAATGTATCCCTGTCATTAAGCAATGCATGATTGTACATTATCTCTGTTGCTCAGGCCAAAAATCTCTCTTTCTCACATTCTACAACCAATGAGCATGTTCATTACCTCTATATGTCCATACAAAGACTTATACAGAAATATTCATAGAAGTTTTATTTGCATTAATAAGAGCTCCAGACTAGAAACAACACAGATGTCTATCAACAGGTGAATGGACAAACAAAGTAGGACATATCAGTACAATGGAATACTACTCATCAATAAAAATAACTATTCATATACATAACAGCATGGATAAATCTCAAAATAATTATGTTGAGGGAAAGAAGACAGACATAAAAGAGTACATACTATGTCAACTTATATAAAACTTTAGAAAGTTCACATGAATTCATAGTGACAGTAAGCACATGAGTAATTGCCTAGAAACAGGGTTGAGGTGTTAGACACAGGCAGGAAAAAGGTATTACAAAGGGGCACACGGAAATTTTCAGGAGTAGTGAATATGTTCACTATCTTAATTATGATGCTGGTTTCACAGGTGCATACATATGTCAAAACTTAATTATATCTTCTTTAGATATGCACAAATTATTCTGTGTCAGTTATAGCTTAATAAATTTATTAAAATATATTATTATCATTATTAAGAAAATGTGCATTGTTTTTGAAAATATAAGGTTGTCTTCTAACACATGGAAGGTATTTATTAAAGTGATTTGAAATTGTAATAACTACTAACATTTTGCCAAGAATGAAGCACCATTAAAACTGCTGAAATTGTCATGATTTAAATTTTGTTATGTTGCTGTTCATTTCTTCTTCAGAAAAAACAATTTAGTTTCAAAGAATAGAGGATATACTAAAATAAGATTTTTATAGTAGGAGTCTATTCTTTTAAAATTATAGTTTTTATGTAATTTTCAAAAAATTGTACACTGCATTTTCTTGAAAAATTACAGAAAAGACAATCTGCAAAAAGAAATGGCAAACCTCTTCTTACAAAACACCTAGAAATTCTGGCTAAAATACCACCTGCATCCTTTAAAAAGAAAGGCAAGCTTGTAAGGAACTAAGGATGGACTCTTACACACCTGAAGACAGATCTAAGAAACAAAATGGAATCGTTCATATTGAAACTGCAACTGTTCCAGTGGGTTTGTTTTTGTTGGGTTCAGTTATCAAGAATCTGAGTTCTGGCTGGCGCATTGGCTGGCTGGGCACTTTGGGAGGCCAAGGCAGGTGGACCACCTGAGGTCAGAAGTTTGAGACCAGCCTGGCCAACATGATGAAACCCCGTCTCTACTAAAAACACAAAAAAATTAGCTGGGCGTAGTAGCAGGTGCGTGCAATCAACATCACTGATCATTAGATAAATGCAAATCCAAACTATAATGAGATATCATCTCACACCAGTCAGAGTGGCTATTATAAAAGGTCAAAAAATAACAGATGCTGGCAAGGTTGTGGAAAAAAGGAAACACACACTGTTGGTGAGAATGTAAATTAGTTCAGCCATTGTGGAAACACAGACAATTTCTCAAAGAACTTAAAACTGAACTACATTAGACCCAGCAATCCCATTAATTGCTATATATCCAAAAAAATACAAATCATTCTTTGTAAAGACACATGCATACATATGTTCATCCCAGCACTATTCACAATAGCAATGACATGGAATCAACCTAAATGCCCATCAACAGTAGACTGGATAAAGAATATGTGGTACAAATGCACCGTGGAATATTATACAGTCATAAAAAAGAACAAGATCATGGCCTTTACGGCAACATTGATGGAGCTGGAGACCATTATCCTAAGCAAACTAACACACAGACAGAAAACCAAATACCACATGTTATTATCACTTATATATGGGAGCTAAATGTTGAGTACACATAGACACAAAGAAGGGAAAAACAGACACCAGGGATGATTTGAGGGTGGAAGGAGGGTGAGGATGGAAGAACTACCTGTGAGGTACTATGCTTATTACCTGGGTGATGAAATAATCTGTATACCAAATTCCTGTGACACACAATTTATCTATATAACACACCTACACATGTGCCCTGAACTTAAAATACAAGTTTAAAAAAAATGTGGTACATACATACTATGGAATACTATGCAGCCCTAAAGAGAATGAGATCATGTTCTCTGCAGCAACATGGATGGAGCTGGAGGCCATTATCCTAAGTAAATTAACACAGGAACAGAAAACCAAATACCACATGTTCTCCCTTATAAGTGGGATTACACGTGGACACAAAGAAGGGAAAAACAGACACCAGAAACTACTTAAGTGTAGAGGGTAGGAGGAGGGTAAAAATAAAAAAACTACCTGTAGGGTACTATGCTCATTACCTAGGTGATGAAATAATCTATACACCAAACACCTGTGACATGCAATTTTCTCATGTAACAAACCTGCACATATACACCATGAACCTAAAACAAAGGCTGGAAAAAAATTGCTAGATTATTAGTGCCAACATCTACTTAATAAATACTTCTCTATGAAAAACCTCTCAATGCTATAATGAAGAAATCACAGATTTTTAAAATAGAGACTTCAGTTCATATCCTCACTCTGAAACTTTGTGAGTGAGTGACTTAGGACAAGTAACTTAAGCCTTCTGAGTCTCAAATTCTGTAATTGAACACTGAAAGTGGTAATCTATCTCATTATACTGTCAGAAGATATTAAGGTATATGGACTGACTGTTTTCACTTACATGAGATGATCCCAGACAGATGAACTCTTGTAGCTAGAATTTTTTTTCTTACACATTACTGTCTATAGTGAACTTCTTTATGTTTGGGGAATGCCTCACTTCATGAGTTTGGGCTGCAATCCAAGACCAGCTCCCTTTATAGGAGCACAATATGTTGGATACTTATTTCTCCAGCCTCCCTTGCACCGAGAGTGAGGCATGTTAACCTTGAATCTGCCAATCAAAGTGCCAGACTTAGAGTCTAGACATGGGACATAAGACAGCAAAAGCCTAGGCGGTTTACATTTTCTCTCCCTGGCAGTGTGTACAGAAGCGAAGACTACAGGCTGAAATTCCTGATGCAGAGGTAGCTGCATTGCAAACAGTCACTTCTGGTGCTCAGATACAGACCAGTTTACTCATGAATGGTTCTGCAGCTTGATTTTGAATCTGGTGCTTGGGAACTTTGCCTTGAGCCCTATTCTCCAGTCCTTCCAATGACTCTCTAATCTAGCCAATATACTCAATAAACACCTCATTGCTTGCAACTAAGAACCTAACTGATAGGCTGCACAGTTTTATTTTCTAATATTGTTATCTTTTCTAGCAATCCTTGCTTCTCCCTAACCTCAAATCTTCACCAATAAAAACCAAAGATGTCCAGAAGAAAACAGAGAAGTGTTTTAAAACAATGTGGTTCTATATGACCAGAGTTTGCCATTGTGATCACAGAATTGAGAATAAGATAAACGTGAATCATGCAGAATGAGAGAACCATAGAAAGATTAGAATCAGGGAAAAGATGCAAAAGAATAGGACAGCTCCAGAAATTGAAGGAAAGTTCACCCTACCAAAGTTCAAGAAAGGAATACTAAAGTCAGCCTCTAGAAGAGTTTCTACCATATATCATAGTATGACTTTATGAGCTTTTTGGGAAATAAAAATAACATTCACTATAAGCCACCATAAATTCACCAGTAAACCATGATAAATTGACCTTATTTTTTTCATCTAAATAAATTAAGCTGGTAGATTATGGGAATCCAATAGATATAGTGTAAATGAATTTCAACAAGACATTGGACAGGGTTTTTGATATGCTGTGAAAAAGATAAAGAAATATGGCTTGTATGATGTTGCAGGCAGACAATCTGCAATCAGTTGAAAGATTATTTCACAATGGATTAATTGATGGACTCATAGCAACTGAAGAGAAGTTTCACAAGGCTTTATTCATTGCTTGTCCTATTCAAGTGTTTGCCTGAGGTAGGTAAATGCACTGAAAGTCTGCTTATAAAATTTCTGGATGATACACATTGCGGATCAAAGACATTATAACCTTATTGCTTACAAACCAATCAGTCCCCATGGCATCCAACTATTCACTGGATTAAGCAAATAACATACCTCAGTTGGCTACACTGACAGAGTTCAGAGCCTATAGTTTCATAATATTCTTTTCAGTGCCTCATCACTGTATGTAAGCTAATATTTTGTGCTGATGTCATCAGCATTCAATGGCTTAATATACATGAAATGCTTAGAAAAGGGCTTGGCTCATAGTCAGTGTTTAATAAATATTAGCTGCTATTATTATTATTGTTATGGTTATTAAACCTAGCTAAAAACGACTTGGCTTTATGCTCATAAATATAGATTGCTAAAAAAGACCATGATAAATGTCGTAGTTACAATAGGCACAGATCTCTAACCACAGAATCACTCAGTCTGAAAGGGAGGTGGTATTACTGAAGGAATCACAACAGGGCTGAAGAAACCATGAAAGAAGCTCCAGTAAAAAACCTGCAAGGAGACACACATGTAATATATAGGCTCTCACCTGTGCTTCCCTGTACCTTGTATTTTAAAAATATCTGTTGATTGAATAAATGAGTACATGTTAATTGGGAAATTTACAGGGCATAGACAATGAGAAAGAACACTAAGAAAGAAAAAAGAGCCATGGGGTGTCTGTGTGTATGAAGCAGACTGTAGTGAGGTTGTCTTAACAAGAGTGAATGGCAAGTATTGGAAAGTAGAGGAAATAGGTGGGATAGAGAAAATAAATGGGTCCAACTAATGTGTGATCACAAATACCAAGCTAATAATGAACTTGGACTTGACTCTGTGATATGGCTTGACTCAGTGTCCTCACCCAAATCTTATCTTGAATTGTAATCCCGTGTCGAAAGAGGGAAGTGATTGGATAATGGGGGCGGTTTCCCCTATGCTGTTCTTGTAATAGTGAGTGAGTTCTCACGAGATCTGATAGTTTTATAAGGGTGCTTCCCCCTTCGCTCCCTCTCTCTTCCCTCTGCCTCCTTGTGAAGAAGGTGACTGCTTCCCCTTCGCCTTTCGCCATGATTGTAGGTTTCCTGAGGCCTTTTCAATCATGTGGAACTGTGAGTCAATTAAACCTCTCTCCTTTATAAATTACCCAGTCTGGGGTGTTTCTGTATAGCAGTGTGAAAATGGACTAATACACTTTGGTTCTTAAAGAGCGGAGATAACATAACTAGAGTCATGTTTTAGGAAGATTTTAGCAGACTGCTAAAGGTCATGAGCATGCCACACAAATGACATAATTCTAAAGTGTGATGAGGACATTCACATGTTGAGATAAAGTACAGACATAAAAGTCTTTATTACATCAAGCTTTAAAAAAATTGTATCTCATTTTTAATTGACAAATACTAATTGCATATATCTATGGAGTACATGAATATGTTAGCATTAAGTCAAGCTAATTTCACATATCCATCACCTCCACATATTTATCATTATTTTGTGGTGAGTCAATTTAAAATCTACTCTTTTAGCTACTTCAAAATATAAAATACTTTATTATTAACTCTGATCACTATGCTGTGCAATAGATCACTGAATCATATTCCTCCTCTCTGAAATGTTGTACCCTTATCCCCTGGTAACCACCATTCTACTCTTTATTTCTATAAATTTGACTTTTTTAGATTCTACATTTAGGTGAGATGATACAGATCTACATTTAGGTGAAATCATGAGATCTTTCTGTGCCTGGCTTATTTTACTTACTGTAATGTCCTCTGGATGTATTCATGTTGTCTCAAATGACAGAATATCTCTTTTTTTTTTAAGTTAAATAGTATTCCATTGTATATATCTACAGCATGTTTTCTTTATGTATTCATCTGCTGATAGACACTTAGGTTGATTCCACAAAGTGGCCATTGTGAATAGTGTTGCAGTGAACATGGGAACACAGGTATCTCACTGACAATCTGATTTCAATTCCTTTGGCTATATATCCAGAAGGATTCCTGAATCATATGGTAATTCTATTTTTAGACTTTTTTAGAAACCTCCATACTACTTTTCATAATGGCTGTACACATTTATGTTTCCACCAACAGCAGGCAAGAGTTCCGTTTTCTCCACATCCTAGACAACACTTATTATCTTTCTTTTTTTTGTAATAAGCTATTTTAACAGGTATAATGTGATCTTATTATGGTTTTAATTTTCATTTCCCTGGTGATTAGTGATGTTGAGCATTTTTTCATACATCTGCTGGTCATTTGTATCTTTCAAGAAATGTTTAACCAGGTTCTTTGCCTTTTTTTTTTTTTTTTTTTTTTTTTTTGAGACGGGGTTTTTGCTCTTGTTGCCCAGGCTGGAGTGCAGTCGTGCGATCTTGGCTCACCGCAACCTCCGCCTCCCGGGTTCAAGTGATTCTCCTGCCTCAGCCTCCCGAGTAGCTTGGATTACAGGCATGCACCTCCATGCCTGGCTAATTTTGTATTTTTAGTAGAGATGGGGTTTCTCCATGTTGGTCAGGCTGGTATTGAACTCCCGATCTCAGGTGATCTGCCCGCCTCAGCCTCCCAAAGTGCTAGGATTACAGGCGTGAGCCCCCACGCCTGGCTCTTTGCCCATTTTTAATAGGGTTATTTGTTTTCTTGTTGAGTAGTTCGAGTTCCTTGTATTTTGGGATATTAATTCCATATCAGACATATGATTTACATATATTTTCTCCCAGTCTGTAGGGTCTCTCACTCTGTTGTTGCCTTTGACGTGCAAACTTTTTAGTTTGATGCAATCCTATTTTTAAAAATTCAGATTGTATAAATCTTTCACCTTTTTCTTCAAACTTTAAATGGGTAATTATTCAATTTCCATTATTTAGTCAACTTAATTTACTTTCAAATTAAAGTTTCATGTTAGCATGTAGTAGCAGCTCCAAAAGCTTAGAATAGGATATGTTCTGATCTGTTGGGATAATTAATATCTCTTAAAGAAACTACATATTTGAACGAAATAGAATCTCATACTTTCTGCAGGTGGTGGGGAATGTTAGAGCTGAAGGAACTGTAGAGGTCATCTATTCCAACTTCAATGTGGGGCTAATAGTTTATCTTGATTAGGTAAATTCAGAAACCATTGGTAAAAAGAATTTATTTCCAGTGTGTTAACTAGAAACTTTATTTTTAATAAAGACATGTTAATTATTTTTGGTATCCTGGTTAATTTTTACCTTCCTCATCCTCTGATTATTCTTTTATTTCCATTATATAGTAGAAACTTTTTATACAAAAGTTTTCTCGGTTAATACACTAAAATTTTATATCCAATAATTTTCAGATTTAAGTCCATTCCTCATGTTACAGTACATTAAAATTACAGCCAGACTCCCCGTCTCTACGAAAAATAAAAAAAAATTAGCCGGGCATGGTGGCTGACACCAGTAGTCCCAGCTACTTGGGAGGCTGAGGCAGGAAAATGGCATGAACCCGGGAGGCAGAGCTTGCAGTGAGCTGAGATCGCGCCACTGCACTCCAGCCTGGGCGACAGAGTGAGACTCCGTCTCAAAAAAAAAAAAAAAAAAAAAAAAATTAGAGCCAGATTTTGTCCTGATACAACCCCTATGATAATATTCATTCTAAATTGTTTGCCTATCCCTTTGACTATGATCAAAAGTGTAAACTTCTTGTATCTGGAACCATGAAAATCTCTTCCAGATATTTGAGAAATTAAACCATTGAACAAGTAGTCAGATATGACCAAGAAAAAAAAATCTCGTGTGTTAGACAATCTGGAGGTAACATTTGTTAAGCACTGAAAGTCTTTTTGTTTATGCATGTATTTGTGCAATCTTGCAATCTAAACACTTAAATGAAAAGAGAAAAAGGTTTTTTATATGTGTTTGTGTATAATTAACATCAAGCAAAGCAATATCCAGTGATGTGTTTATATATTACAGATTAACATCCCATAAATTACCGATGTGTCATTTATGAGCAGTTTCCAATTTTAAATATTTTACAAACTTGCCAATAAGAAATAATTTCAAAGTTTCCACTCCATGTAGGTGCTTCTGAAGCACATGAACTGTGCATATTTTTCCCAGAACTAAAACTCACATGATCTATTGAATTTCCTTTTTTCTAGGGTACCATTATCTCCTGCTTCTCCACACTCGGGTCTCTTATTTTTCTCTTGTATCTCCTTCACATCTTCTTGCTGGCACATCCTAGGGTTCACCTTTTGAATTTCCCTTCTATTTTCTATATACTCTTACTTTTTTGATTATCCATCTAAATCACAGCTTGAAATTCTATCTTTACATGGGTGAGTCTGGAATGTTACCTCTAGCATAGGTTCTGTCTCTCAACTCAGAAATTCAGTGCCACCTGAGTGTCTGCTAGGTATCTCAAACTCACCATGTTGAAAGCTCAATTTTTAATATTCCTCCTTAAACGTTACTCTTGCCCCAGTTTTTCTTATCTCAGTTGATAATACATATATTTTTTCAGTGTTTCCACCAGTGGTCACAGAAATTTTTCAGTAAAAGTCTAGAGAGTACGGCTTCTGATGCACATTATTTGTGGGGTTTTTTTGAACATTTTTTAAAAATGTTAAAACCATTCTTAGCTTCTGGGTCATACAAAAACAGATCATAAGCCAGATTTGGCCCATGGGCCATTGTTGGCCAATTCCAGGCTTAGATCAAAACCCTAGATCCATCATTAATTTCTCAATCTGTTTCACAACCCATATCCACTCCATCAGCAGATGATGAGTGCTCTACTTTCAAAATATATCCAAAATCCTGCCACTTCTCAACACCTCCTCTTCCAACAACTCATTTGAACCACCATCAGCTCTCATCAGGGTGGTTGCAAAAGCCTTCTAACTGGTCTTCCTGCTTCCCTCTGCCTGGAACATTCTTCCCTCAGATGTCCAAAGGGCTTACTTCCCCTCCTTCTTCAAGTATTTACTCAGATGACAGCTTTTCAGTGATCAACATGACAAAAATGGAAACATTCCCTCAATTTCTTACCCACTTTTTCAGCTTTTCCTTTTCCATAGTACTATATAATCCACATTCATACTGTATATTGTACTCATTAATTTTGTTCATTGTCAACAATAAAGTTCCAAATGGGCAGGAAATTTTGTCTCTTTTACTTACTGTTATATACTCATCACCTAGCATATTGTAAGCATTCAATAAATACATGTTGAATTACTTAGTTAATCTAGTGAGGATAGTAATTTCAACATAGTTCAATGACTTATCAATTGTTCATGAATGTTGGATCAGGAACAGCAAGAAAAGATCAAGTCCTTTAAATACCACTGGCATCATTGAAAGCCAGGTAGAATAATGTCCTGGTTTAAGAACACATACTTAGCAATCATAGGAGTACAAATCCCACCTCTACCACTTTCTGGCCATGTGATAGAGGGAAGGTTACTTAATCTCCCTGGATCTAAGATTTGTTTAGTCTATAAAATGTGTGTGAAAGCTCTTGGATTATTAATACAGTTGAATACAATATGCATATTAAGTGCTTAGCACAGTGCATGCCACATAAATAGCCTCAGTGATTTGTAACCATCATCATCACAATTATAACCACAAAGATAAGATTAATAAGAAAATGGATGGATTAACCCTTTAGGCTTCTTTGTCCTTGTTCATGTACCTGAACCACTCAGCCCAAACGTGTCTGTTGAAAGTGCTGGACTTCTTTTAATTTACATATTAAAAATAGACAAGCAAGTAGTGAAATTGTTCTGTATCTTGATTGTGGGAGTTGTTTCACGATTGTATGCTTTTGTAGCAAAGCTGTACAATGAAAAGAGTGAATTTCACTGTATTTAAGTTATGCCTTATTTCAAAAAAATAAAAGCATTATTGCAGATGTGTGGAACTAATCATACTCATCAGAAATAATTACTTGCTTCCCCCCAACAATGAGAACCAAAACCACAAGGAAAAATTTAATTACATCAGAGATAGAAAATTTCCCCCCCTCAGGGCATAGGAAACACAAAATGGCTATGCTTGCCTGATTTCAGGCAAAAAACAGTTATTTCATAACAAAACAAAAGTATGTGCTGGCATTGCAAAATCCTGGACTGATTCTCTTTCTCTCTTACGATGCAAAAGGAAAGGTGTCAATTACAAGCCTCTATTTATCCAAATATATGAGATAATCTTATTATAATGCATGTATAACTTTATAGTTCCTAATGCTTTAGAAGCAGATGTAAATTAATGTGGAATCATTCTTAAACGTAACACCACCCAGAAATGTGTTTTTATGGTTATATGCTGAAGTATTAAAACATATCCAAATTTTTACTATTCTTTGATAAATTAACTAGCAACGCAAGTTAAAACATCTCGACTCTAATGATATTGCCAGGTCTACTGAAATTTACACAAATATGTGTCAATGAGTAGAACAGAAAAAATATTTTTAAAATAAATTTTTTTAATTTAAATGATGTAGTTTTCTCAAACATGAAAGCTATAGTTTCCAATGTGGCACCATACAATGTGGTCAACAGGGAGAAGGGAAATCCAAACATTTATTTTTAAAAGAGATTTTATTTCAAGATAAACTTCCATTTACATTCATTTTTTATTAATTTTCCCTAAATTTTTGGCAAGGCCGACTGGCTGCCATATAAAGAAGAGGAAATAAAAAACAACAACATTTTTTACTTAAAATAACCCAACTTTTGTAGGAAAGTTCCATTAGCATCCAGCTTGAAAGAAAAGAAAACCAACAATTGGAATTTTCTAATCCCTGTTTAAGGACTCAAGCCAAGATTACTCAGATATTTAGCTAGACATCTTAAATAAATATAGCAGAAACAAGGCCCATTTGAATTTAATTTGAACAGCTGTCTGTGGTGTCTAGACCATAAATGATGATACTGTATTTCAAAAACAAAATGCTAAATGGTTACGTATTTCCAGAGCTTAATCTAGAAACACAAAGTAAACTCATTTCTTTGTAAGCTGCTGGAGTTTCCTAGGTATTTCTAAACGCCTGTTCCAAAGAAATATTTTCTATGTTTAAATGGTGAAAAGATCTGAATCAAGGAACAAGGTGACTATGACATGGGCTTGAATTCCTAAACTAATGTATGTGAGACAGCAATTGGCAAGGGTAGAATTTTTTTTCTAGAGAAAGTAGTCCAAATGCAATTTAATAAAAGGCAGATGGCAAATTGGAAGAGGGGATGGTTAGAATAATGGAATATTCGCGGTTCATTTTTTGTCATGAAAAGTATTTACAAATGAAAGATCAAGTATAATTTTCTAATTTCAAACCACAGAGATTAACACAAGGCTGAGCGGTTTATGAATAGTCCTTCTCCTTGTAACACAAATCTCCGTCTTGGTACTGATGAGCTCTTACTGCAAGTGTCATACAGGGCTTCCAGGCAAGCTGGAAATCTGCTATGGTATGGAGAGAGTTTAAAATGGTTGCAAAGCAGACATAACAAATAGAAAAGTAGAAGTACTTCCTCAGACATCTCCTCAGGGGTCCTCAGAGCATCTGTGGGATCTTACTTTATACAGCATGGCATGGTCACTTCACAGTTAAATATTGTGCACATTTCTGGTTTCCACAAATTACAAGGGACATGTTGAATTAGCACAATGTTCAAAGCAAATCAATACAGATAATTAAAGGGTTGGAAAACAAGGCCTATGGGCAAAGGTGAAAGGAACTAGAACTCCCTTCTTTAGCGCCTTTGGGCAGGGCTTTTGCATCATGTCTCTTTTCCATCCCCTGATCCATGAGTGTAAAATACCAGGTGAAGGGAGTCCTTGGTAAAGTCCCATTAGTTGGCCTGGGGGGATAAAAGTGAAAAGAATGACAACAGTCTTCAGATATGTGAGGGGTTATTATTTTTTAAATGGTAACCAGCTGCATCTGCTTCCACCCAGTTTGGTGCAAAGATAGAAGGCAAAAACTAAGCAAGAAAGGTTAGCATTCATTTATAATGGGACCAGCTTGTCCAAGCTTGCCCAGGGCCTTCAGGGTTTTAGCAATGAAGATCCCATCCTGGGAAACTCCTGCACGAACCTGGACAGTGGGTCATCTGATGTTGCAAATGTTTAAAGTAGGAGAAACACTAAGTGTCATTTCATGGGCTTTCCAACCCTATGATTCTGTATCATTACTATCACATGTATAATTATCAGGGACAATAATGACAGTGATAACAATAGTAGTGATTTTATTTTCTACCTGTCAAAGTGAGTTTATCCTAATGTTAGTTCACTGAAATCCCTTTAAATGCATGTTTTGACCCTGAACAGAAGAGCTAAGCCACATCATTAAAGTCATAAGAAAATGAGTGTGAACTAAAAAAACTGAGTATTTGTAGATGCATAGCAAGCCAGTCAGTGCTCTGTCGTGCTTGAGATTGGTCAGGCCAAATAAAACATGGCCTCATGGTTAACAGGAGAGCATGGAATCATGCAGGTCTGGGTATGAGTATTACAAAATGGCCTTGGACCAATTACAGAACTCTCTAAGCATCTGCTTTCTCATGTGCAAAATGGAGACAATAACGTCATTACCTACTCACAATAACAAGTTTATAAGATATTCTTTAAGGACCCTTACTGCAAAGTGATAGCATAATGGAAAGCAGGTCTATGAAATAAGAACATATTTGGGTTCAGGAATTGAGGTCTGTGGTTATAACATATATATTTAATATACCTTATGTGTCAGAAACTTTCTCAGCACTTATCATGCATTATACATTGAATATAAGAAGCTTATAAGGATTATTATTCTCATCCTTATTTTATAGATTAGACAACTCAGGTATGGAAAACTTGAATATTTTGCCCATGATCACATAGGTAAAGAGTAGCAGAGTCCATAGTGTGTAACCCCAGGGCCTATACTTATAAACATGACAGTATATTAATATTATATCTGGATTACCCTCAGGATGACCATGAACCTTTGTGTGAATTGAAATTTTCTTTTAAAAATAATACATAAATGCAACTTCTCTCAGTAAAACTTTTAATAAGTCTTCATGGCAGTCAAATTGAGGTTAAATTATCTGACAAGTACCTAAAATACTGTATTTTATGATTACAAGAGTGAAATATTCAGACCTTCAGACATAATTTGAAGGGATAAATACAATAGCTCCAATCCATTTTTTATCTAATCCAAAACTCATTTTTATTAGTACCATGTGCTGTCTATTATGTGATAACTATTATTGATAAATTAACTGCTAATATAGCCCCTGTTGATCATTCCAGGTCCAGTTGGCTCACTACTTCATGCAGCAAGCTACTTCAAATGATAGGTTGGCTTTAGGGGTTAAAAACATTTTTCTGATAGAAACTTATTTGACTTCCAAGCAATATATTTATATTGGACAAAACTTTCCCCATAGTCATAAACTCTGGAAAAATATAAATATAAAAACATTATTTGAAGGCACTAGGGAATAATCAAAAACAAAACTGGTGAGAGGGGACTGAAAACAAAACAGGGAACTGCACAAGGTAAAATTTACATATATATGGCTTTTCACTTAAGTCCTCTACTGCTCATTTGGCATGGACAGGCTAGAACTCAAGTAGAAAGCCATAATCTTATTAGCTTGAGAAGCTCAAAGACTGAGGTTGCCAGAGGAAGCTCAAAGATTGAGGTGGAAATCTTAGAAAGGAAGGAGCAACAGAAAGGAAATATTAAAATCTACACGTATTCACGGTGAATTCTATTAAACATCTGAAGAAGAAGCAATAGTAATATTACATAAACTCCTTCAGAAAATATAGGAGAAAACATTTCACAACTTGTTTAGGCCAGTCTACAGCCTGATATGAAAACAAGAAAAAAATTACAGACCAATATCCTTCAAGAATATAGATATACATATCTTTAAAAAAAACTGGCAAATAAAATCCAAGGATATTTAAAAGAGATAATGCATCTTGACCAAATGAAGACCATTATAGTAACACGAGTTTAGTTCAACATTCAATATACAATCATTGTTTTTTATAATATCAAAAGACCAGCAAAAGAAAATATGATCTGTGATATATACAGAGAAAGCATTTGATAAAATTGAAAATCCATTCTTGGTAAAAAGCTCTCAGCAAAACTAATAATAAACAGAAACTTTCTCAACATGACAAAGGGATTTTACAGAAAACCTAAAGCTAAAATAATAGTGAATAATAATGAAATATTTAATGTTTAAGATTGGGAAAAAAAGGAAAGAAAGGATATCTACTCTCACCACTTATTTTCAACATTTTATTGGTGGTCCTAGTCAATGTAATAAGGCAAAAAAAATTAAAAAGAAAAACTGTCTCTATTTATTGACTGTAATTTTCTACATAGAAAATTCTAAAATATCTACAAAACATCTACCATAATTAAATTTATCAAGGTCATAGGATATAAGGACAATTATAAAACCAATTGTATTTCTCTATTTTTAAACAATTGAAAAACATAATTTTTAAAGCTTCTCTCTCTCTCTCTCTCTCTCTCTCTATATATATATATATATATATATATACATACACATATATATCAGAGTATTCTTTAAAATACAATACTCAGGAATAAATTTAATAAAAAACTGTGTAAGACCTCTACACTGAAAAACAATATTGCTGAAAGAAAGTAGAGAAGACCTAAATAAATGGAGAGATAAATCATGTTCATAGATTGGAAAACTCAGTACTAGATGTCAATTTTCCCCAAATTAATCTCTACACTTCAAGCTGCTCATATCAAAATTCTGGCAGGCATTGTTAAACAGAAATGTATATAAGCTAACTCAAAATTTAAGTATGAGTACAAAGAACCTAGAATAGCAAAAACGTTTTTCGAAAAGAACAAAGATGAAAGACTCATACGACATGCCTTCAAGACTACTATAAAGCTACAATAATAAATATATGGTGGTTTAACGTGAAGATAGATCAACAAAACAGAATAGAGTTCAGAAATAGACTCACAGTTATAAGGTCAATTGATTTTCTACAAAACATCAATTGTTATGTTTTGTTTCTACAAAACATAATTCACTGGGAAAAGGATAATCTTTTCAACTGGCATACAGCTGAGAAAAAAAACGAATGTTGATCATCACCTCACAACACACAAGCCAAAATAATTTAGATGGATAATAAACCTAAAGACAAATACAAAACATAAAACATCTAAAAAAAATTTTGGGTTTTCATGACCTTGGCATAGGCTGACTTTTTTTAGGTAGAATAAAAGGAAGCAAAAACCATTAATGAAAATATCTGTATATTAAACTTCATCAAAATTTAAAAATACTTCCCAAAAGTCACCATGAAGTATATGACAGCCAAACATACACTGAGAGAAAATATTCACAAAACATGTATCTGGACAAAAGATATAATAAAAATTGGCAAAGGACTTAAGCAGACTCTTCACAAAGGAAGATATACAACTGACCAATAAGCACATGAAAAAGTGTTCGACATAATTTGTCATCAGGAAAATGCGTATTAAATTAGCTAGTAAATATTAAATTGAGCAATTGGCTACTATTACACACCAACTGAAATGGCTAAAATTAAAATATTGACAACCTCTAATATTAATGAGAATGTGAAGCATAAGAATTCTCATAGACTGGTGGGTAGTGTTAAATGAAACAATCAATTTAGAAAAGTGTTTGTTAGTTTCCCATACGATTAAACACAAATCTACCTATGACCTGCATCTCACTTTTAGATACTTACCCAGGAGAATGAAAACTCATGTCCACAAAATAAACTAGTACATGAATGTTCATAACAGCTTTATTTATAAAAGCCCAAAACTGGGAACAACACAAATGTCTATCAACAGGAGAACAAATAAACAATCTGTGATATATTCATACAAAGAAATACTACTCTGTAAGAAAAAGGGGTGAGCTTTTAATACACAACAATATGGATAAATCTCATACCCAATATCCTGAGTGAAAGAAACTAGACATGGTAATCCCTGCCTTATCCTCGGGAAATATGGTTGAAGACCTGAAACCCCAGACACCACCGAACCTGATTGACCTCTAGGAATGGTATGTAATTTAAAAGTTACAAATTGTTTATTTCTGGAATTTTTCATTTAATATTTTCAGACAGCAGTTGACAGGATAACTGCAGAAAGCAAACCACAGATAATGGGAGATTACTGAACATACCATATGATTCTCTATATAAAGTTCTCCTATAGGTAAAACTATTTATTTGTGATGAGAAATAGAAAAGTGAGGAGATTAACTGGGAAGTATCTCCAGGAAGCTCTCTGGTGGATGGAAAAGTCTGTGACTTGATAGTTTATGGGAGACACATGTATTTATGTATTTGTCAAAACATATCAAGGTAGATACTTAATATTTGTACATTTAACTGTATGTAAATTTTATGTCAAAAATGTAAACAATGAAAGGGTTGGTTTTGGGGGTTTATTCCTTCCAGATTTTACCTTTTTGTAACTTCTTCATTTGTTCTGGCTCTTAACTTAGAATAACTAAAGCAAAACTACTCCTCCATTTACACATGTGTGGTCCAGCATGGTGGTTAGTCTTAAATTGTGGTCTAGTATAGTGAAGGCAAATGAGTTCCGGTTTGAGAGTTAACTTTGGTTAGTTGACAGTAGCTACCCAGGACAATATTTATAGAAAGAATTTGTGACTTTGTCCAATTCCTCTGTTATAGACTGAATGTTTACATCCCCCTAAAATGTATATGTTGAAGCCCTAATTCCCAATGTAATGGTATCTGGAGGTGGAGTCTTGGGGAGGTAATCAGATTTAGATGAGGTCATGAAGGTGAAGCCCCAACGATGGAATTAGCACTCTTACAGAAAGAGGGAGACACTCTTTCTATCTTCACCATGTGACAATACAGGGAGAATATAGCTGTCAGTAAACCAAAAATAAAATCTGCTGGCACCTTGACCTCATACTTCCCAGCCTCCAGAATTGTGAGAAATAGACATCTGCTGTTTAAGCCACCCCATCTGTGATACTTCGTTATAGCAGCACGAGCTGACTAAGACACCCTCTGAGGGATTTGAGATTAACTGCTCTCAGTGGATGAACATTATCCGTCAGGCAAACAGGAGAAATGATGAAGAGGCCCCAGCCCATTCAACATCTTCAACCCTTATCAATAGCAAATTTCGTCTAAAACATCCAAGAGGCTGCCTTTTATATACTTTTGCAACATAAATATCATTAGGTCAACATAAGGGAACATCACACACTGAGTTTTCTTCATATCATGTCATAATAAATTGCAGAGCAAACTGAGGATGAAGTCGTCTGATGACATGTGTTCCTGTCTAACTTTTTACCTAACTACATGTCACAGACCTGAAACTACTGATTATTTATTTTATTCATTTTTATGTATAATACAATACAAACATATACAATGTGTATAATCTATACATGTATTATTATAAACAATGATAAAATGAACATGAACCACCTACCACTAAGCTTAAGAAATCAAGGAATACCAAATTGGTGAACTCCTGGGTGTCTTTCCCTATTATATTCCCCTCATCACTCCTATGATTTGTGGATTTTTTTCCCAACATTATGTTTTTGAAATTAATTCATGTTGACATTGGTAGTTATGGTTCACTAATCTTCACTGCCATAAATTATTCCATCTTATCGTACTTTATCCATTCTCAAAGTAGTAATTTTTGTTGTTTCCAGTTCATCACTACTACAATTAATGCTTCTATAAACGGTGAACATAGTCAAGGGTTTTGAGAGTGTATTATAGTAGCTCAATTCCCATGCCAAAAATTGATACTCAATTTTACAAGACAATACAACTTGCTTCCCAAAATGGTTATACCAATTTACACTTCCATCCATTGCATATAAGGTATTTCTTAAAAAATTCTTAATAGTCTCCAGTGTGCTTTGTTTTTGTTTACATTGAGACAGGGTCTCACTCTGTCACTTAGGCTGGAGTGCACTGGCACCATCTTAGCTCACTGCCCTCTGCCTCCCTGGTTCAAGTGATTCTCCCACCTCAGCCTCTCAAGTAGCTGGGATTACAAGCACCCACCACCAAGTCTTGCTACTTTTTGTATTTTTTGGTAGAGACGGGGTTTCACCACATTGGCCAGGCTGGTCTTGAACTCCTGACCTCAGGTTATCTGCCCGCCTTGGCTTCCCAAAGTGCTGGGATTACAGGTGTGAGCCACTGCACCCAGCCTTCAGTGTTTTAATGTTTGACAATCTAGTGAATGGAAAATCCTACTTGACCATGGTCTTAATTTTGTATTTCATATTACCAGTGAGGCTAGGTATATATTCATGTATTTCTTGGCCTTTTGTTTTTTCTTGTAAGAAAAGTTTATCTGTCTTTGCCCACATTTTCTACTAAATTGTTTGTTTTCCTCTTATTGACTTATAGGTGGTTATTTTTCACAGGCTCAAATCCTTTGTTGGCTTTATACATTTTTCCCAGAATTGTGGTGTCTTGTTGCTTTTTAATGATGTCCTTTGATGAACAGATGTTTCTAATTTAAGCAAAGGAGAAGTATTAATCTTTTCCTTGATGATTTTGCCTTTCTGTGTCTTTCTTAAGAAAAATTTCCCTTCACGAGGCCATGAAATTTCTCTCCTATATTTCCTTCTAAAAATTTTTAGTGTTTTTATATTAATATATTTTAAATATCTGCAATAAAGTTTTTAGTATAGTGTGAAATAGAAATTTTACTTTTTTTCCATATGGGTAACCAATAACCCAAGCACAGCTTATTGAAGAGTTCACCTTTCTTCCTTTGCTCTATAGTTCTTTGCTCATTGTATAACAGATTTCTAGGTATGAATGGGTCACTTTCTAATATTTCAATGTCTTCCATTGACCTATGTATCCTTTCCTGTACTATTGTTACATTATTAAATTGCTACAGTTTTATAATAACTTTTGATATCTTTAAATTAAACCCCCTCACCTTGTTCTTCAGGTGAGTCTTGGCAATTCTTGGCCTTTCGCTCTTTCATGGCAGTTTTAGAATAATTTATCAAGTTTCATGAAAAATTCTGTTATTAAATTTGCTTTGATTCCACGTATCAATTTTTATAGATCTAACTTTTTTTGTAAGTTATACTCTCTGTATCTTGCCAGAGCATAGAAATGCAATTAATCTTTCTATATTAGTTTTACGGTAAGCTTGACAAATTTTGCTGTTTTTTAATACATTGGTTAAGCTATAGTAACACAGAGACTCAAAATTAGAATGGTTTTTCACAAGATGGAATACAGTTTCTCTCTCATGTAATAATTCAAGTTAGGTAGGAAGCTCTCTCCTGTGAGGTCATCTAAGCAGGACCGTCTCTCAGAGCAAATGCAGTGGCTGCCCTGGGACCTGCTGTGGATTTGACCAATTCACCACATGTGTATTGGCTATCTGGATATACTGTTTCCTGTACCCATTCAAACATCTTGCTTATTTTCCACTGGTTATCTAATTTGATTAGGATAAATCCTTTATATGTTCTGGATATGAGTATTTGATCTGGTATATGTGCTACAAAAATCTTATCTGATTCTGGAGTTCTGCTGCTTAACTCTCCTAATAGTGGTTTGATAAACAGATTTTAAAAATTTGAATATAGTCTAATTTATCAATCTTTTTCTCTGTGGTTAGTACACTTTTTCTTCTGCTTACATAGTAATTCCTGACTCAAGATTATGAAGATATCCTCCCTCCCATATTAGCTTCTAGAAGTTGTATGTTGTATATGTCACATTTAGATTTACAATCCATTAAAGATTGATATTTGTATATGCTATGAGGCGGGTATAAGGTTTTGGTGGGTGTTATATGAATATCCATAAACCCAGCATCATTTATCAAGAAGTTCATTGGGAGGCTGAGGCGGGTGGATCATGAGGTCAGGAGATCGAGACCATCCTGGCTAACAAGGTGAAACCCCGTCTCTACTAAAAATACAAAAAATTAGCCGGGCGCGGTGGCGGGCGCCTGTAGTCCCAGCTACTCGGGAGGCTGAGGCAGGAGAATGGCGTGAACCCGGGAAGCGGAGCTTGCAGTGAGCCGAGATTGCGCCACTGCAGTCCGCAGTCCGGCCTGGGCGACAGAGCGAGACTCCGTCTCAAAAAAAAAAAAAAAAAAAAAAAAAAAAGAAGTTCATCCTTCCCTACTTCTCTACAAAAGTCACTCTTTTAACCAAGTTGTCTACCTATGTTTGAGTATTTTTCTGAACTTTATACACATATAAATGTCCCATTCATATTTCTTTAAAAAAGTCCCATTCATTTATATGTGTATAATTATACTAATGTCACAATCTTAATTATTAGTGTTTTAATAAAGTAAATCTTCTGACTTTGTTCTTCCTCCAGCTAGTCTTCATTATTTCTGGTTTTATTTACTTCTCAATAAATTTGAGAGTTTAATTTCTTCAAATTAATACTAATTTAGAATTATATAACTTCCCAGGTAACTTTATAAAACACTACTCTTTAGCTCTGAGGATGCTTTCTGCCTAAAATCTGTATTATATAATAAAATCATACTCGTACTAGTCTTTTTGCGTATATTATCCTTTTAATTATATATTATATTTTCACTTTCAAACTTTCTATGTTCTTATATTTAAAGTGTGTCCTCTTTAAGCCACAGATTTTTCAATTTTACAATCTTTGTCTATTACTTTCTCCATTTACATTTGACATAATCACTATTGTTTTTGGTATTTTGTCTAAACATAATACGTTTTTATTTGACCTGTACTTATGTTTTTTTTCCTACTCTTTCTGTTTTTTGGGTTGATTTTTTTAAAAATCAGATATTTATTGAAATAATCATATATTCACATGCAGTTGAAATAATTGTAAGAAATAATATGGAGAAATCCTTGTATTCTTTGCCCCATTTTTAAAAAAGATAACATATTGCTAAACTATAGTATAATGTCACAATCAAAATATTGACACTGATATAATCTGCTGATCTTATTTAGATGTCCCCAGTTAACTTGTGCTCATTTGCATCCATATATTAAATTCTATATAATTTTATCACCTGTGTAGGCTCATATATTCATCATCACAATAAAAATACAGAACTGTTCCAATGCCACAAAAATTCTCCATGTTGCTCCCACCCCCGTTCTTAATCCCTGGCAAATATTAATCTGTTCTTTATTTCCAAAATTTTGTCATTTTTAAAGCCTATCTTTCTTCTACTTCTTGTTTTTTTTTGTCCTAAAAATTAATGGTACATATTTGTGTGACTTTGTTCCTAGGTTTTCTATTCTGTTCCATTGAGCTGTATGTCTACCCTTCTACCAATATTGCACTGTCTTGACTACTGTAGCCATATAGTAAGACTTAATATTGGATAGAGTAATTTCCCCCAACTTTTTATTATTTGTAAAGATTGCTTTAGCTATTCTAGGGTCTGTTCCTTTCCACATAAATTTTATGTAACCTTGTCTGTGTCTACACAAAACTTTTGATGGAGCATTGGCAGGAACCAAACTAAACTGATAGATATGAGAAGAATTGATATACTTACTATATTAAATCTTCTAATCAATGGACAAGATAGGACTTTTTGTTTATTTAGATCTTCTTTCAGCTTCTTCATCGGAATTTTATAACTTCCAGCATATATACACTCCTTGTTTCATTAAGTGAATACCTAAGCATTTCATTTAGAGTGATTATAAATGGTATTATATTTATTTTTAGTTTCTGCCTGTTCATTGACAGTGTTTAGGAATAAAATGGATTTTTTTGTATGTTGGTCTTGTACACTGACACCTTACTGAATTCACTTATTTCTAGGAATATTTATAAATTTCTTGGCACTTCCTATAAATAAAATTATAAATAAAAAGTTTCACTTTTTTCTTTCCAATCCTTATGCCTTTTCTTTTTCTTGGCTAGTTCCAGCCCTATTTTGAATAAGAGTGGTGAGAACAGACATATTTGCCTTGTTTCAAGTCTAAGAGGGAAAGCATTCGATCTTTCATCCTTAAGAATAATATTAGTTGTAAGTTTGTTTGTTTGTTTCTGTAAAGGCTATTTTTCAAGTTGGAGTAATCTACTCTCTATTCTTGACTTGTAAGAAGTTTTTCTCTTGACTGAGCATTGGATTTTGCCAATGCTTTTTCTGCATCAATTTTTATGATCATATGATTTTTCTTGTTTAGCTCGCTGATTTGACGGGTTAAACTGATTTATTTCCAAATATTGAGCCAGTCTTGCATACCTGGAATAAACCTCACTTGGTCACAAAGTAAAATTCTTTTTATAATTGGTTGGCTTCATTTGCTAATATTTGGTTAAGTATGTTTGCATCTAAATTGATGAGAGACATAAATTAGTACTTTTATGATGGAAGAACCTTATACTTCTTTCGTTGCATTCACTTTCTTGTGGCTTTCATGCTCTTTCATCTTGTATTTTAGTCCTACATATATTATAAATCTCATAAGATAGTATTTTTATTATTTGAAACATCAAATATTTAGTTCCGTTTTTCTATATGTTTGAACTTTTTACTTCTCCTTACCCCTTTTCTGTATCTCTCATCATTCTTCTTCCCCTTGAAGAATACCCTTTATTATTTTCTTCAGCACAAATGTTATGGTGAAAAAAAACCCTCAAGTTTTGTTTCTTTGAAAATGTCTTCATTCTACCTTTATTGTTACAAGATATTTTCACTAAATATGGAATTCTAGATGGTGTATTTTCTTTCAGCACTTAGAATCTATTATTCCATTGTGTCCTAGCTTCCCCTAGTTTTTATTAAGAAGTCTTAAAAACATTGATGGTATTATTGTTACTCCTTTGCTCTTAATGAGTTGGTACATTTATCCAGTCAGTCATTATCAAAAAAGAAAATCTGTCATCACTTCAATCATATTAAGTTCAGCTGGTTTCCTTACAGGTCCACTTCATGTCACTCTCATTTTCTTTCATTGCCATTAATTTCCAAACTTTAACTTCCTGACTTTGATATTTATTCCCAAGGCAGTTTGAGTTTTCTATTTTACCTACCACTTTTATTTCAGTTAATTAAGTTATGCTTACTATGTTTTATTTTCCCTTTTTTGTAACCCACAGACGGGAGGCTCCTATTCTTTCTTCGTGATCTGGGCAATACATGTCTTGCTGTTATTGTTGCTTATTCAGGACACATATATTTCTCAGTGTGAAGACTTTTTAGAATGTGTATTCCATTCATATTGATGGAAGTAGGAGTCACACAGATTTCCGGTAACTGTTAACACTTTTTTAAATGAAACAAATTTGAACTTGTTTTCTTGTCAGTGTTGCTTCAGAAAAGCAACGGAGTGAAGAAAGCCCTTCTGTTGTTCACCAGGTCAGACTTAGAAGTCACACCCAGAAAGGAACTCACCTTCGACTCTTCAAAAGGATACCACATAGCCCTAAAATAAGGTAGGAAAGAAAAAAAGAGCACCCCCAAACAATTTTTATGTGAAGATACCGCTACAATACTTCCAGACCAGACTGTTTTTAGTGCTGCCATCCCAGATTCTTCACAGTGAAGTAACACACATACAGATTACTCATTTCGACTTAATTTGTGACATTTCTGACTGATACAATTCTTTCTCATTTCTAACCAGTACTTTCCTATTAGTATGAACTCCACGATGTTGATTAGAAGTTCACGGCATAGTTCCTTTAGGTACAACTCCATGACATTACCAATGGCACCTTTAATATCACTGTCTTTTTTCTATGCTAATTATCTTTTTTGTTTCTTTCATAGAACCAGTAGTTCATTAGCTACATACGGCTTACCAAAAGTATTTAAGTCATTGCTAAAGACCATAATAATAAGTCTGATGAGGATAGCTTTTGTAACTGCTTATTAAGTAGATGAAATCAAATACAAAGTTTATCTTCCTTGTGTGTCTGTTGCAACAAGAGAGAAAGGAGAATATACAAACATCTGCCACAGTTAAAGCAAACTCCAAAAAGCTCTAGAGATTAACTATATTGGACACCAACTTGGAAAAATATCAGTATGATATTTAGAAAAATGAAATCCAGAGTTGCTACCCAGCTTCTTCCAGAAAATGTTTTGCCAACTTAAGTATAAATACACATGGTAATAATCAATGCCTATGGCTTTTCTAGGTTATTATTAAATACCCACTCTAAAAGGTATGCATTTATCTTTAATGGCATATTTCTTAATTTAAAACTTAAATTCTCTATTGTTTTAAAATTATATTTGTTAAGATAAGACTAACATACTTCAAATAAAGAGGAATACTAGCAGAATGTGAAGAGAGTAAAGAAAAAGGAGAAAGCAAAAAATAGGAAAAGTAAAAACGCTAATAAAGAAGGAGAGACAATGGGAAATGAACAAAAAATGGGGGCAAAAGAAGTAGTCTAAGAGTAACAGATGGTTTGAGGTTGAGAAGCGATAGACATAGTAAAATTGCATTGGGTGGTTAAGTTATTCACCTATTTGTAAATTACTAACAAATCTATTGCTAAAAACTATACCTTCCCTCTGATCTCCAAGTTGATGTTTATGGTAATTTTCTGCACTCGCCCATGGGATGAGTCAGAGACACTTCAAAATCAACAGGTTTGAAATCACACCATCTATCCTGAACACACCCTTCTTCCCTAAACATATACATCTAAATCTGCTGCTCCCAGTATTTTTTTTAAATCAAAGTAAGTAGTACTGTACATCCTAGTCATCTACCTAGGCAGTTGTGGTAAACCCTATTTTTTTTACTTCCTGAACATAAATAGAAAATATTGCCAAATGATTTTCTTGATACTACCCTAAAAACACAGGGAACAAAAGCAAAAATACACAAATGAGATTACACCAAACTAAAAAGTTTCTGCACAGCAAAGAAACATTTAACAGAGTGAAAAGACAAGCCACAAATTAGAAAATATTTGCAAACCACATATATGATAAGGAGTTAATATCCAAAATATATAAGAATCTCAAATAATCCAATAGCAAGAAAATGACCCTATTAAAAGATATGCAAAGTACCCAGATAGACATTTTTAATAGAAGACATAAAAATGGCTAAAATAGATTGTGAAAAAATGTTCAACATTGCTAATCATCAGGAAAATGAAAATTAAAACTAGAATTAGATATCGCCTCACATCTGTTAGAATGCCTGTTATCAAAAACATGAAACAAAACAAGTGTTGGCAAAGACATGGAGAAAAGAAAACCGTGTTACACTGCTGTGGGAACGGAAACTAGTGAAATCATTATGGAAAACCATCTGAAAGTTTCTCCAAAAAACCAAAAATAGAATTTCCATCTGATCTAACCATCCCACTTCTGGATATATGCTCAAAGGAAATACATTCAGTATGTTAGAGAAATATCTGCACTCCCATGTTCACTGCAGCATTATTCACAAGAGCCAAGATATAGCGTCAACATAAGTGTCTATCAATGGATGAATGGATAAAGAAAATGTAATAGATACACACAATGGAATACTACTCAGTCTTTAAAAAGAAGGATATTCTGTCATTTGAAACAACATGATGAACCTGGAGGATATGATGTTAAGTAAAATAAGCCAGGCATAGGACAAATACCACATTATATCACTTATATGTAGAATCTGAAAAAGTTGAATTCATAGGAGCAGAGAGTAAAATGGTGATTACAAAAGTCTGGTGTGGTTGCAGGGAGGGGTGATATTGGTCAAAGAATACAAAATTTCAGTTACATAGAAAGAATAAGCTCAAGAGATCTATTGTACAATATGGTGATTATAGTTAACAACAACGTATAATATCCTGGACAATTGCAAAGGGATTCATTTTTTTTTTTTGAGATGGAGTCTCACTCTGTCGCCCAGGCTGGAGTGCAATGGCATGATCTCTACTCACTGCAAGCTCCACCTCCCAGGTTCAAGCGATTCTCTTGCCTCAGCCTCCCGAGTAGCTGGAATTACAGGTGTGCACCACCATGACTGGCTAATTTTTTGTACCTTCAGAAGAGAAGGGGTTTCACTATTTGGCCAGACTGGTCTCGACCTCCTGACCTCATGATCTGCCCACCTCAGCCTCCCAAAGTGCTGGGATTACAGCTGTGAGCCACCGAACCTGGCCAAAGGGAATATATTTGAAGTGTTCTTGCCCCCCTCAAAAAAGTATGTGAGGTAATGCATATGTTAATTAGCTTGATTTCACCATTCCACAATGTATACATGTATTGAAACATCATGTGGTATAACATAAATATACACAATTTGTATTTGCCAATCTAAAAAATATTAAAATATTGCCCAGACTTTTCAGTTAGGTGTAGCCATGTAGCTGACTCTATCAATAGCAGAATGTGGATACAAAATACATTTGTCCCTCCCAGTTCTTAATTCTTTATATTCTACCTCCCTTTGTCTGACAGCCACATGCACAGAATCCAGTGAAGACAGCAAGGCACTGAGATATGGCAAGGCACTAAAAGGAAAGAGCCCAGGTCCCTGAATGACTGTTTAGAATAGAACCATTCCCCATGACAGACTATTACTAGACTGACATATAAGGAAGAAACACTTTATTGTATTGGGACATTGAGGTTTGGGAGATTATAATGATAAACGTCTGCCTTTCCTAATTAATTGGAATCTTGAAGTGAGAAGCTATGATAATAAATACCAAAAATACATGGCATTGGCTTAGCAGTTGGAAATCGAGCAGTAAAGATAGAGCTGTCATAGGTTTTAGCTGCCATAGGTTCTGCAAAGATGGCAAATCATGTTATGCAACAGGAAAATATTTAATAAAACTGTTTCCCATGACAATTTAGAAGACAGACCACTTGCCAACAAAATCTCAAGATCTAGGAGAAGTAGCCAGAAAGAATCAGAATGCTGTGTGTTGCCTGTTATGGGCTTGCTTAGGCAAGGTATTATAAGAAAGCAATGAGTTTAAAAAAGAATTGGCTTGCTTACTAATAGAAATGGAAGAGAGTATAGAAGTTTAGAAAAAGCTACTGTTACTAGACCTTTAATAATAAGAGATAAATTGAGAAAGAAAGCAAAAAATGTCATGTAAAGCTTCTCAGTTAAACAAAACATCTCAACCTTGGCAAAAATTGATTAAGTGTCCTAACCTCCTCTCCATGATAATTATTGCATATAGACACAAGTAGCCTCTGTTATACTGAAAGAAAAACATGGAAATGAGAAATCATTTTAAAATGAAAAAAAGCAAATCTGAGAATTAGTTAGCAAAGAAACTTGAATGTGGTTATTGGCACATTGAACTATCTGGAAACAATAAAATCAGGAGGCTACTATGTTTTTTTGTTTTTTTTTTGAAAAGTTGCTCTGACAAAGAAATGAATACCCTGGTCAAAAAATGCATGTGAGTGTTCAGTGAGCCTTAAAACATCCCTCAAGCAAGAATGGGCTATGAAGCAATGCTTTCTTCAAGAAAGGCAAACTCCCCAACATCTGCTTCAAATGTGGTCAAGGAATATACAATAGGCAACCTCCCAGAGGGCAGAACCCGGGATCATAGACCAGAAGCTGCTCCCAGAGAAGAGAACCAGAACTAATCAAGGAACTTCTCCTGCATCCAAGGAAAGGGCTTTTCACAATGTCTGTCTAGTGGATTTCAGAATTGCTATACACCAGTGACTACATGTTTTCCCACTGTCTCTTTCTAAATGGGAGTGTTTATCTGTGCTTATTCAGTCTCTATCACACAATGGTATGCGGGTGTGAGGGAGGTAGAAAATTTGTTATTATAGACCGTAAGTCACCAAACTAGGAAGGGACACATCTCTCACTGTAAATCATCTGAAGATTCTGCACTTTGAGCAGAATGAGTGACTGGATGGGACTTTAAGCTGTCTCCACTGGAAAAAGAATAAATGTCTTCTAAGTGAGAGAGGAATAGTGATAAATATACTCAGTCATTGGAAAGACAGTCTGTGCTTATGTCTTCAGCAAACTTCATTTTCTTCTCCTCCTGGACACCCAGAGAGACCAACTTTTCTAGGCTTCTTTGCAATTAGGCATGGCCATATGACTCCGTTCTGTCCAATGGAATTTCAGCAGAAGTGAGATGAACAATTTCCATGCCTGGACTCTATAAAACATCTTACAATGCCCTAGGCTTGCTTTCTTTATTAACCATCTGACTCTGACCCAGAAACGGAGTCCGAAGCCCTGTGGCAGAGCCACTAAATAGAAGAAGTTTGGTACCCTGAATGATTGTATACAGCAAGGACACCCCTATCCACCACTACAAAATTGGGCTGTCCCATGAGAAAAAATAAACTTTTATTAGGTTAAGCACATTAAGATTATGAAGTTATTGTTGCAGCAGTAAATCTACTCTAATAGATCTCTCAAGCTGAACACTGAAAGCAATTCTCATTTTCCACTCTCTCTCACTGAGATGGTTTGGATTTATGTCTCTACCCAGATCTCATGTCAAATTACAATCCCCAATGCTGGAGGTGGGGCCTGGTTGGAGCTGAGTGGATCATGGGGGCGAACTTCTCCTTTGCTGTTCTCATGATAGTGAGTAAGTTCTGACAAGCTCTGGATGTTTGAAAGTGTGTGGCATCTCCTCCATCTCTCTTTTTCTCCTACTCCAGTCATGTAAGACATGGCTGCTTCCCCTTCACCTTCCACCATGATTGAAAGTTTCCGGAGGCCTCCCCAGCCGTGTTACCTGTACAACCCATGGAACCATGAATCAATTAAACCTCTTCTTTGTAAATTACCTAGCCTCATTTATTTCTTTAGAGCAGTGCGAGAACAGACTAATACACTCATCTCTTACATATGATCATTTTTATGTCTGTTTTGGCATCTAAATATTTTTCAATTTTTTCTTTTTCTCACTATCTCTATTACTACTGCCTTAATTTGGGCCCTCATAAACTTGCACCAGAATTATTGATATAGTCTCTGCAAATGAAAATAGACATACAACATACCAAAATGTATGGGATGCAACAAAAGTAGTTTTAAGAAGTTTATAACAATCAATGCCTACATTAAAAAAAATTTCAAATAAACAACCTAGCATTATGCCTTAAATAACTAGAAAGAACTAAGCCTAGAAGTAGCTGAAGAAAGGAAATAATAAAGATCAGAGCAGAAATAAATAGACACTAGAAAAAGATTGAAGGCATCAATAAAACTAAAGTTTTTTTTTGAAAAGATAAACAAAACTGACAAAACTTTAGCCAGACTAACAATAAAAAAGAAAAAACTCAAACAAAATTAGGAATAAAAAAGAGACATTAACTGATACCATAGAAATATAAAAGATCATAAGAGACTATTATGAACAATTATATACCAACAAATTGGATAACCTAGAAGAAATGAAAAAATGTATAGAAACATACAACCTACCATAACTGAATCATAAATAGAAAATTTGAACAGTTCAATAAACAAGTAAGGAGATTGGTTCGGTAACAGTCTCTCATCAAAGAAAAGTTCAGGACCTCAAGGCTTCACTGCTGAATTATACCAAACATTT
The DNA here is from genome assembly GCF_000001405.40 of Homo sapiens. NCBI lineage: Eukaryota > Metazoa > Chordata > Mammalia > Primates > Hominidae > Homo > Homo sapiens. Next base: position 79,691,020 of record NC_000013.11, on the reverse strand, counting down.
TTAAAAGAATTAATGCCAATATTTCTCAAACTCTGCGGAAAACTTTCTAATTCATTTATAAAGCCAGCATTACCCTGATACCAAAACCAGGTAAAGACACCACAAGCAAAGAAAACTGCAGGTCAATATCCCTGATGAAAATAGATGCAAAATTCTCAACAAAATACTAGCAAATCAAATTCAACAGCATATTACAAGGATATTCACCATGGTCAAGTGGGATTTATCCCTGGAATGCGAGGATGATTCAACATATGCAAATTAATAAATGTGATACACCATATAAACAAAATGAAAAACAAAAACCACATAAACCTCTCAATAGATGCATAAGAATCATTTAACAAAATTCAACATCCTTTCATGATAAAAAAAGAAAAAGCACTCTTAACAAATTAGCTATGGAAGGAATGTGCCTCAATACAATAAAAGCCACATATGATAAGTCTGTAGCTAACATCGTACTCAACAGTGGAAATTTGAAAACTTTTCCTCTAAGATTGGGAACAAGACAAGGATGCCCACTATGTCATTTCTATTTAACATAGTACTGTAAGTCTTCACCAGAGCAATTAGGCAAGAGAAAGAATTAGAAGGCATCCAAATTAGAAAGGAAGAGTTAAATGTCTCTGTTTACAGACAACATGATGATCTTATACAGATGGTCCTTGACTTAGAATAGGGTTATGACCCAAGAAAATATCATAAGTCGAAAATGCATGGCTGAGAGCTGTGTCTCACTGCTTCTGCCCAGCATCATGAGAGAAGTACAGTTTCCACTAAATGTGTATAGCTTTCATACCATCATAAAGTTGAAAAACTAAGTCAAACCATCATATGTCGGGGACTGTCTGTATATACAAAACCCTGACAAATCCCCCCCAAAAAAAAAAAGAAAAAAACACTTTTAGGATTAACAAATTAAGTTAAATTGCAGAACATCAAATCAACATACAAAAGTCAGCAGCATTCTATACACTAACAATGAACTATCCAAAAAATAAATTTAAAAAAAATCCCATTAACAATAGCATTAAAAAATACTTAGGAGTAAATTTAACCAAGGAGTTGAAAAATCTATACGCTGAAAACTAGAAAATATTAATGAAAAATTTGAAGAAAACACAAAATAATGCAAAGATATCCCTTGCTCATGTTTTGGGAGATTCAAATGTCCCAAATCTCCCATCTTAAATTGGTGATGTTAAAATGTCCATACTACCCAAAGCAATCTACAGATTCAGTGCAATCCTCACCAAAATTTCAATGCCATTTTTACAGAAATGAAAAAAAAAAGATTCCAAAATTTGTATGGAGCCACAAAAGACCTCAAATAGCCAAAATGTGGAAGCAACCTAAGTGTCCATCAATAAATGAATGCATAAAGGAAATGTGAATATATATAACAAAGAAATACTAGTCTTTTTTAAAAAAAATGTCATTTGAGAAAACATGAATGAACCTAGAGGATATTATGTTAAGTGAAATTAGCCCGGTACAAAAAGACAAATGCTGTATGATTTCACCCATATGTAAAACCTGGAAGTCAACATCATGGGAGAGTAGAATGGTGGTTACCACAGGCCCAGGGTAGGTGCAGGTTGGGAGCTAATAGGGAAAAGGGGAGACATTGGTCAAAAGATACAAAGTTTCAGTTATACAGGAGGTAGATAATTATATAACATATGCTGTGTATAACACAGAGGGGTGACCATAATTAATAATGTATTGCGTATTTCAAAATAGCTGAAAGATAGATTTTAAATGTTCTCACCACAAAAAGTAATGATAATAAGTAGGGGAGGTAATGGATATGCTAATTAGCTTGGCCTAATCATTCCATAATATATACATATATTGAAACATCACATTGTACCCCATAAATGTATAAAATTATTATTGGTCATTAAAAAAATAAACAAGCTGGAAGCAGTGGTTCATATCTGTAATCCCAGCACTTTGAGAAGCCAAGGTGGGACGATCGCTTGAGGCCAAGATCTCAAGACCAGTCCGGGCAACAAGGTAAGACTCCATTACTCAAAAAGGTAGCCAGGCATGGTGGTGTGCACTTGTGGACCCAGCTACCCAGACGGCTGATGTGAGAGGGTCACTTGAGCCCAGGACTTTGAGGCTTCAGTGAGCCACGATCATAACACTGCACTCCAGCCTGGATGACAAAGTGAGATCTCAACTCTAAAAAAACAAAAAAGAAATAAAAGCACTCTTTAAAACATCAGAATTGAAAAACAATTATTGGAATAGTCTTCTAATTAATTGCCCTATATTCCAGTTCTGGACTATACCCATAATTCATCTTAGACACTGCTTCCAAAAAATGTTCTAAAATTAAAATCTTCACACTAAAAATCCCTCAGTGTCTTCTAAATAACTTCAGAGGAATTCCAAACTCCTTAGCATAGACTATAAGGATGTTTGTGATATTATCACTGTCTGCCTCTCCATCCTCATTTCCCTCCATGCTACCACACACTCTCAGAACTTCTTCCATACACAGATATTTCACAGGTTTTCCAAATATGCAGGTCCTTAAGTAACCACCTACAGCGTGTTTGCCTATTTAGGGTGTCATTAGAAAACAGATTCCTGCTCTCAAAAAATTGTCATGAAACTGTCATGCTTTATCCACTGGTAGCCTATTTCTTACTTCTCTCTCTCCCTACCTTTCATTCATTACCCCAACTTCTTTTCTTTATGCTGAATCTTGGGTTCCTTTTCCATTCATGTTTTAATTTCACACTTATATCTAGAATAGTGACTAATCCTATTTCTCCTAACTGTAGTCTGACTTTACTTGACCTTATCCCTCAATTTTGTATTCCTACTAATGTCTTTCAGCCTCCCCCATACCAATGTCTCCTCTCTCTGGTCTTTTGAAAGACCATCAGACATCTGACATTTCTCCAAGTCTGTCCACAGTGGAAGCCTTGTCCATGTTCCCCACCTTGCTGGGGTTGAGAAGAAGACTTGAGCATTTGCTTCTTTAAACTCCCATTCCAGTGTCCATACTCTTCACTCCATTTGGAATGTCTTCTTTCTATTTTACCTAGAAATGTCTACTCATCTTTAAATCCCAGCTCAAATATTACCACCTCTGCAAGATTTTTCTTGATCCTCAAAGCAGAGTTCTATCTTCTCCATGATCTCATAGCATCTTTTAAATACTCCTATTTATCACTAATGTCATTATATTTTTAACATTTTGTTTGCTGTTTATCTCCTTCTAGAGAGTAAGATCTTTAAGGACAGAAAATATTCTTCCTTATTCTTGTATCTGTGGTTCCTAGCACAATGCAGCTGTGTTTCTTAAATAACTCAACAGATAAAATCATTCTCATAAAAAATATAGTTGAGGAAGAACAAAAACAGTAGGATACAGATTGGTAGCATTAAATGCTCACAAATAGGCTAAACTGGGTCAAAAGACCTGACTCTGTCACTAACTCCAGGAGCAATGAGAAAGCATTTTATTTTTTTATTTTTATTATTTATTTCTTTATGTATTTATTTATTTTTTGAGATGGAGTCTCGCTCTGTCGCCCATTCTGGAGTGCAGTGACGCGATCTCGGCTCACTGCAAGCTCTGCCTCCCGGGTTCACACCATTCTCCTGCCTCAGCCTCCCGACTAGCTGGGACTACAGGCGCCCGCCACCACGCCCGGCTAATTTTTTTGCATTTTTAGTAGAGACGGGGTTTCACCGTGTTGGCCAGGATGGTCTCCATCTCCTGACCTCGTGATCCGCCCACCTCGGCCTCCCAAAGTGCTGGGATTACAAGTGTGAGCCACCGCGTCCAGCCAAGAAAGCATTTTAAACTGCCTAGATCATGGAGTCACTAGATCAACTTTAGGTATTTATCCAACTGCAAATTCTAGTATCACATTGCGGGGGAAGGGGAACACAGGCAACAATTTTTTATGGACAACACCAGACTCTGCAGAGAATTCCTTTGGAGTTTGGTGACCAGTTTATTTTCTCACACATTGGCAGCAGCAATTCTGTTGATTAGAATAACTTATCAAATACCATCTTCTGCCTCCAGTAAAATATAAACATGTTCACTGCTTTTTCTAAACCCTATATTTTTATGAACATGCTTTCTTTAAGTTTGTCTGATCACTGTCCAACTTCCAAATTAGCAAGAGCTTCTGCAAAGGATTATCCCCATTTCACCGATAGTTACCTCTGAATATGTAAACAGAAGTGCATTGGTTTTAGAAATAATTATTTCTAAGTCAGAAGTTAGCTGCTTCATGAGAAATATCTGATTCATAGAAGAAAATTGCCAATGATATTTGGCTTGGTTTAGTCCGACTTGGATAAAGGTTCCAAATCTGTCATAAATGATACTTGCCCAATCTTAAAGGGAGGAACATATGCATGTTATCAAGTCATTATCTCATTACTGCCGTCAGTTCTACACGTGTGCTGTACAACATGTCTGTCTACCCTAAGCGTGAGAACAAAATCTTAATGCCAAATAGTTATCAGGCCGCTGAGAAAATGGCAAAAGCTAGACTGTGGTAAGATTAAGATTCAACTATCTATGCAACAAAATTGAGAAAGTTTGGTGAATAAGTTTGATTTTATGTTCCTTTAACATATTTAAAAGTTTTAATATGCACACATAAATACATCAGTTTTCCAGCAAGGCCTGACATCTCTGCAAACTTAATAGAAAAACATTTTTTATAAAGTTCATGGTGACCATAGATTGTAGTTAGAAATGTGTCTTGAAGTTCCCATTATCTCTGGGAAAGAAATTTCATCTTGCTCCCTTTTTATTTGAGAAAGATGTTTTTAATAAAAAAAAAATCAGAAATATGAAGAATGGGGGTTTTTAACAGGAGTTTTCTTTCTTCCTACAAGGTCTTAATTACTGGGGATCCTAGATCCCCTTTCCTCCCATATCAGTGGGAGTTTCACAAATGACACTAAAGATTGTGGGAATACAGACAAAAGTCTGAGTTTTCCATGGATTTTTCTCCATTAAGCCAGCGCCACATGCAACTGGAAATTGCTGTTCCTTTGGTTACATGCTTTCAAATATATACTATCTGTTATATTAAATATAAGTGCTGGCCGGGTGCAGTGGCTCACACCTGTAATCCCAGCACTTTGGGAGGTCGAGGAGGGCGGATCACTTGAGTTTGAGACCAGTCCTGTCGACATTGCAAAACCCCGCCTCTTCTAAAAATACAAAAATTAGCCAAGCATGGTGGTGGGCACCTGTAGTCTCAGCTACTCAGGAGGCAGAGACACGAGAATCGCTTGAACCTGGGAGGTGGAGCTTGCAGTGAACCAAGATTGTGCCACTGCACTCCAGCCTGGATGATAGAGTGAGACTCTATCCGAAAAATAAATAAATAAATAAAGTGCTATATTTCTCTGCATTCAAGAAAACCCAAATACCCCAGTGAAATTCAGTAATCAGTTATGGAAATATCCAGCACCTAGGTGCTTAGGAATATTTCATAACAAATGTAATAATTGACTTCCATGTTGTGGTGACCCAATTTTCCTTCCTTTAAATTTAGTAAAAGAGCAAAACTAATGAATACATACATCAATTTTGGTATCTTTAAAAACTATTGCCGTCTCTGTTCCCTGATTGACTCTACAAATTTCTGAAACTAAAATTTTTTCAATACAACATAATGGTGCATTCAAGGAGGGGAAAAAGATGTAAATAATGCCCAAATACCTTTAGCATGAATAAGACTCTAACATCTAATGGACAGCCCTAATCTCTCAAGCCCCAAATTCTTGAAATCTTTAATGGTGGTTGCAAACTCTTTGCTGTTCCTACCATAGAGAGCTACAGTGTAATTCCCCTCTCTTTCCTTGAATATGGACTGGCTTTGGTACACTGACCAACAAACTGTATTAGTTTCAGCTGAAAGGCAAAAAGATTACAAAATGAAACAGACCTTTGAATCTTTGAATTTCCTTGTGGAGAAAGCAGGCTAAAAAACTACTCAGCTGGAAAAAGGGACTATTTATTATGGAAAGGGGTGGGAGACCAAGGGCAGAGGCAAGAATCCATGAGGAAGAGTGAATGGCCACAGAGAGTCACCCCAGGGAGCAGGTCTGGGCCCTAATTAAGAAGCAGGCCACACATGTCCAGCCAGATTTCATAATTGCTCCTTACCAGTGACTACCTATGTCGCTTCTGTTTCCCTCTTTTTGAACCAGAGGGACTATTTGGTTTTCCTAGGCCAGGTCTACTATTTTATGTTGGGTGTTGCGAGGAGGAGGAGAAAATATGACTGTAGTTCACAGGCCTTTGTTTGATACGAATTGTACCCAGGGAAGTGCACCTGAGGAACTCATGCACATCTGGACCTGATTTGGCTACTCAGATCCTAGGCTTCAAGCCAATGCTGAAAAAGAATGAGATCCAGGGGCTTTGGGATATATGAGTGTATTGTGTGTTTGGTAGGAATGTAAATAATTTGTGGCCAAAAGCGGACTATAATGGATTAAAGTTCTCCACAAAATCTTTGCTGCTTCTCCCATTGAATCTTGAATGGCCTTAATGACATGCTTGGCCCAGAGAATATAGTAGAAGTGGTATGCTGGGACTTCTGAGGCAAGTATGAAAAGCTTTGCAGATTCTGCCAGGGCTTATTGGAACACCAGTCTCTGACAGCCCTAGGCCACCATCTTAAAGCCACCTAGCTGTGGGAAGCATAATTCATCTGCAGGGGCCCTGAAGTTAGGTTGATCAGCTGGGGCTGCTATAACAGAATTCTATGAAGTAGGAGGTTTAAGTGACAGAAATTTATTTCTCAAAATTCTGGAGGCTGGGAAGTGCAAGGCCAAAGTGCCACCATATCCAGTGCCTAGTGAAGGCCTGCTTCCTGGTTTGCAGGTGTCATCTCTGGCAGAGAGCAGAGAGAGCAACCCATGTATCCTCTTTTTATAGTGCACAAATCCTATTCCTGAGGGCCGAACCCTCCTGACCTCCCAAAGGCCCCAACCCCTAGTACTATCACAATGGGGGTTAGGATTGCAACACACGAATTTGGCAGGGGAGGGAGCAAACATTCAGTCCATAGCAGTGAGACACCACGTGGAGAGAGAGAGAAAAAGGCCAAGGAGCACTGATGTGCCAAATATATGGATAAAGAAACCATCTCAGAAGTGGATGCCACAGCCTGAACTGCCCTGGAGTAATCCCTGTGGGGCCATTCCCAAACTCATGATCTACATTATGGAGAGGGAAAAGAAAGAAATGGTGACTTTAAACCACTGAGCTTTGACAGTTTGTTATACACAAATAGATAACCAGAACATTTTCCATGCTTGTTTTCCTACCATATTCCCTCCCAAGTTGAAATCTTTCCCTTTTAGAATCTTTCCCATGAGTTTAAGCTTTTAGGCCACAGTAAGATATAAAGACACATACTTCTAGAATTGCCCTAATTGTAGAACTCATTTTATAAAGAGTATTTCTCCTTTCACATTAGATAATAGTTTACAGGAAACTATTATGTATGTAGTAAAAACATTTTACTACAAACATGAGGGTTTATTATTTTATTCTTTCAAATTATGCTGCCAAAACTGAACTTGTAATTCTACAGAGGACTCCATTTTTTAACCACAGCATACATTACATGTTATCCATTCACTGGGAAATGCCACTTTGTTCCTATCCTTTTTAGTAAAAAGTAGATAAAATTTCAGTAGACTGTCTTACAATGTTGACTCAGGTAATTTTCCACATAGCTTAAAAATTACAAATTTTCTCCAACATCTGACTATTGCAACTGAAATTTAGCATCCATGTTGTGAGGAAGCCCAAGCCACATGGAGAGGCCTTGTGTAGATTTTTCAACCTACTGTTAGGTAGTAGGACTGAGAATTAAGAATGGAATTGAAAAGATACATCCAGTTGGATTTCAAAGTCTCTTTGTACCACTCATTGCTGTATTCTTCCCATTTCCCTCCCCCCATTACCCTTTTTGAATGGGAATGTCAATAGCAGTTGTCTGCACTTGCCCTCCCATGGCATATGGATTATATAAGAGGCAGGTCATTTATCTCTTTAGTTCACAGATCTTTAGACCAGGAAAAATAGGCCTCAGAGACCTGATAATCTACACCCACAGAGCCTCACCAGATATGGATTTCATTTTAATAGTGAGATTCTGAATCCCAAAACCAAGTCTGATGCTGAAACAAAAATGGGATTTTAGAAGCCTTGGAAGAGGGCAAGTGTATCTTACTATTATGTTGTAATAGTCAGAGGGCTGATGGCAGACATTTTGTTTTCCCAAAATGACCAAAGCAATATTTTCAGTCCCACATGCTCTTCCAGAAATTGCCACTCCCCCATCAAAAGGTGAGATTTCTTTTGTTGTCCTTGAAATTGGGCCACCTTTTGTGGGATTTCCTGAAAAAATAGAATATGGCAGAATTGATGCCTGTATAACTTTTGAGGTTAGGCCATAAAAGGCAATATGGCTTCCATCGCTCTTCCTCTCTCTTCTATCTCTCTTCTCTCTCAAGATGCTCACCCTTGGAACCCAGTCACTATGTTGTAAGAAAACCCAGGCCTCATGGGGGCCCATGTGTATATGTTTGGCAATGGTCTCAATCATGGTCTCAGCCAACAGCCAGCACGAACCATCAGACATGTGGATAAGCAAACTTCAGATGATTCCAGCTTCCACACTTCAAGCTGCCCCAGCTGAGGCCAAGTTGGAGAGAAACAAACTATCACCAACAAGCCTGCCCAAAATGCAGATTAACAAACAAACAAAATGTCATTTTTTAAGCCATTCACAGTTTTGAAAAATAACTGATTTTGGAACTCATCACAAAAATTATTTTTCTTTCTCCCACACCAGGAACACAAATATCTCTGTCACAACCTACGTTTATAGGAACTATTGCCTACTTAGATGAAGAAAAATTAGACTTTTCTATGAGGGTCCCCTACCCTAGAAATTCATGAGGATCATCTACCCCACACAATCTCCCAACCCTTGCCACAGTTGAAAAGAGTAATTCTATTTTTGAAAACAATATGCTCCTTGAGTATAATTAAATGTAACATGATTTGGGTGAGGTTGGGACTGAGGCTCAAAAAGCCACAGTATGAGGTCAGTCTCACTCCACACACTGCAGTACCACAGTGCTTGTGTTCAAATGATCCTTCTTTTACTTAATAATGGCCCCAAAGCACAAGAGTAATGATGCTGGCAAATCGGATATGCCGAAGATAAGCCAGAGAGTGCTTCCTTTAAGTGAAAATGTGAAAGTTCTCATCTTCATAAAGAAAGAAAAAGAGATTGTATGCCGAGGTTGCTAAGATCTACAGTAAAATAAAATATTTTGATAGCGATAGAGACCACATTCACATAATTACCATATATTAAAATTGTCCTATTTTATCATTATTGTTAGTATTGTACTATGCCTAATTTATAAATTAAACTTTATCATAGGTATGTGCATATAGGAAAAAAAAAAACATAATATATATAAGGTTCAGTACTATCTGTGGTTTCAGACATCCCCTGGGGATCTTGGAATATATACCCTGCAGATAAGAGGGACTACTGTATAGATAAAAGTTATAGACGAAAGTGGAACAGGATAAAGAAGGTTGGGGTGGTAGGAAGAGCAGCTTGCAATTTGAAACAGGGTGCCCAGGGCTGGCCTCTATGGCAGGATAGCATTACAATAAGACTTGAGGGAAACAAGGCATTTCACCATACCTGGAATGTTGTGGTCACATGTGAGTAGAGTGCAGTGAGTGAAAGGTGAGCCATAAGAGGTGAGATCAGATTTGCAAAGACCTTTAGGTCTTCATAAAGACTTTGTCTTTGATTAGGAGTGAAATCAGGATCCCCTGTAAAATTTTCAGCCAAGGAGTGACAAGATCTGACAGCCAGAATCACTGGCTGCAATGTCAACAAATAGACTGTGGGGAGCAATGGTAGAGGCAGGGAGATCAATCCAAGGCAATCACAGTGATCCATGTAAGAGATGGTGGTAGTTTGTCAACAGTAGTAGCAGTGGGTAAGTGAAAAGCAATGACTCTGAGTATGTTTGGAAAAATATAAGAAGAAAAAAGTGCTTCTTTACTGATCCAAGAGAGAGATGAGCTGTGAGTGAGAGTTCTAAGGTGGTGGCAAAAGGCAATATAGAAAGCCCAAGGAGGACCAGTTCCACCATATAGGTGGTCTCAATGGAGCATGAAATGTGCAGTACCCCAGTAAAGCAAGCACCAGTGCAGCAAAGACCTGGAGCTGGTTGTCCCAGAACTCCACAGGGAACATTAGCAGAGAAACCAGGCACACACAGCTGTTGAAAATTCTTATCCTAAGCACTGTTTGCTAAAATTAATTATATAATTTGGAAGGTCTGGCATGATGCTGTCTGTCCTGAATTCTATATTAAAACTATTAATTCAGGTTCCCCAATGGCAAAACCTCAAAATTTCATTGAGTTAATTTTTGTAGCTTATATGTTTTAATTTCACTTTAGCCAAGCACATAAAAGTATAGAAAACAAAACATTAAAGACCAGGATAAACTGCAAAACAGAAATTGAAAACTTCAGAATACACATCAGCCCTGGTAAGCATGTTCCTTGTCACAGTCTAGCTTCCAGCTTCCATTTTTGGGGTCTCTTTCTTTAACCTTTAAAAGATGCAGTAGCAGCATTGGCTTAAAGTTGTAATATATTGAGATCTCCCCTTAGATGTGTGGCAGGTATTTACATTTGGGGAAATATTTTCATTTAATATCTATCTTATTAATAAGATGAGGTTGTAATCTCCATGAAGCTCTGTGGACTTGTACATTAATACAAAGATCTCCTGAGACAATGTATTCCCATGACACAGTTTTCCACTGTTTTGTTCTCTACCCAGCCAGAGAGGTAGTCAGAACCTTGTTTCTCCAAACATCTATGATTAAATAAAGAAGAAAAAATGGGGAGCTAGAAAAGAAGGGTAGACACCATATTTGTCTTACTGATTCCTTTTCCCTTCCCCAAGAAAAAAGAGCCAACTGACACTTTTCTCCTAAATCTCCAGCAACTGTCAGACTAAAATTGTTAATGTTCCAAAAAACTTGTTTTGATAGATGAAAACATTTCAAGAATACCTTTAAATTTTTGATAAATTTCACTTAAATGGATTATACCTAGAGGGGGAAAAATGGCTAAGTGGGTTTATTTCCATCTTTAGAATTAACATTCTCCAAACAGAGAATTTGTTTTCCATTTTTTCCTCCCTCCATAGTCGTGCAGTCATGCTTCTATATTAATATTTCTTTTCATAATATGTCTGTAATGCTTTCACCACTCTTTGGTATCTTCCTTGATACCACTGCTTCCCTCTTTACCCTGAAATCACAGGGGTAGTCCTAGATCTGACTTTTGTACCTATTCTTTCCCCTTCACTCTGCCTGCCAAATTAATCTTCCTAACACATTTTTGGTAGGTCACTACCCTGCTCTGAAACCTTCCATAATTCCCAAGTACCTACAAAACTAAGCCTAAAAGCTTTACGTAGCTGCCCCCTAGTGGCCATCTTCTGACTCACTGTCCTGGACTCAGTCCCTACAAGCTGCCGAGAATGTTTTCCATTCAAGGTGGAATGGCTTTTTATGTTCTAAAGGGAGGCAAGGGTGGGAAATTAAGAAGGTAGAAAGAAGCCTTTACTATCACAGCTATGGCAAAGAACACAAAAGGGGAATAATCTCGTGCTTCCAAGGAGGCATTTGTCTTACCAAGAGCTCCTGTAGAAAGAGCTCCACATGTTAAGAATACTCTTCTGCATTATTTCCACCTTTGATGACTACGCCAACAGTGGAATTTTCTGTACAAAGCATAAAAAAAAAACGCAATACCTGATTTACAACCTAGTTGGTCCCCTGACCTTATTTCCTAAAGGCACAATGTTGTAAATCAAGACTCCACTCTTGGACTAGACCATAACATAAAAATAGCAAAATTGATCAGAAAATACACTTTTAAAAACACAAAATTTGCCTTTACAAATATTAAGAATGTAAAACAAATATTTAATGTCACTTCTCAAATGTTCCTTTGGGGTATATTTTTCTTTCTGTGGTCTGGACAAGCTAAAGTGTCTTAAGTTGTAAGTGCAAAAGGGTTTTAACGTGAACTATTTTGGTCTCAGTCTCAGCTGAGGTCTTAATACAAGGAAATGCCAGTTACTCTGACATTCAAAAATATAATCCCATATCACTTAGGCAGAATTAGCAAAGGAAGTGGGTAAAAACCAGGTTGCACCATTGACCCCTCAAGCCTATTATAAGGTGTAAAAAGGTTAAATTTGAAGAGCCAAAAGGAATTGGAAATGAGAGAGAAGATTTCTTTGAAGACAGCTGTAGCTGTGTGGGGTCTCCACCCACCCACACTTTGAGAGTGGAGTGGGAGCATCAGGTTGTCTCCTAACTTAAAGCCTAATTAAAAGGGGTTTACAAAGATCACTTAGAGAGCTTGAAATGTGTCCCCTGAAGTTTGAAAAACAGAGTGGACCTGTGTATCTGACTCATACCTGAGTACTCTAAAAGACAAGGGTCTGGTTGGGGCACAGAGAACAAACCGTAGTTTGAAAAATAATCTCATTCTTTGGACAGAGAGTCTCAGATGTGCATTTCTCATACACTAAATGTGAGTCATGAGCAAGCAAGTGGAAGAGAAGTTATCTTAGATCCTGTGCAACAGAGCCTCTGGGAGGAGCAAAGAAACATCAAAGGAAAGATGCTGGAGGAACCGCTAGCATTCTTGGGAAATGACAACTGAATCCCAATGATCATGAAAGAGGATGCATGCACCCACACTGAAGAAACTGCATGTATAAGATCCAATGCAATGGCAGGGGACAGAGAGGATGTCTCCCAAGAACCCAAGTGCCCCTGAGATGCCACCATGGTCAAAGTAAACCTTTATCATGTCTGAGATGTTTAAGAACACTTCCTTCTGCCCTTCTACCTCTCCTTTCTCCCTTCAGTTAACTGTAGAAAAACCAATCCCGGGACAAAGGGAGAGGAGCAGAGGCACTAGGCATGGAAATACACAAGGTAGCCGTGCCCCTTAATCCCACTGCATTTGACTAGACATATTTCTGAACTTAGACATTTGGTGATTAAAAGCTACTAGGAGGATTTGTATTTTTGACAAAAAAAAAAAAAAGTTATGAGTCTACATTTTATTTGAAAACAGAAAAAAAATAACATTCCAATTGTATTAGGGTTCATGAATAGTAAAATACTGGTGGTAGGATACTTGTCATGTAATTTAATTACATTTTTGTGTTTCAAAAATTCCTTATTTTTCCATTTGAGTAAGATCTACATAATTCAAGAGTAAATACTTTATAGTTGCTTCTTGTTATTATTCCAGATATTTTATAACACAAGAATTTATCTACTGTAAAATTAAGGAAAAAATGCTAGTCAACTAAAACAGTTATTTTAATATATATCAATTATGAATAACTCACGCAATGAATCCAAGATTCAGAACTTTATAAAGTTACTTTTCATTATTTTCCAAATAAATTTTTTTCCTGAGTGTGTCTGAACATGCAAAAACAAAGTCTACTTGATTTATCTGTACTTTAAGAAAATTTTCCTTGAGTCTGGAAATGTAAACATCAGAGATTAGATCATTGCTACTTTTAACCCTCAGTTAACTGTAGAATGGATCTTGCCCTAATAGCCTTATAATATGACTTAATGTGAGTTATGGCAGATTCAACATCTTTGTATCCCAGCTATAAGAAACCTCAATCACTGTTAGGTCCAGAAGGTGCCCACAGGCCAATCATACTCAGCAGGCCACAGGGGATTGGTGATCACTCCATCTGCCCCTTAAGTTGGTATAATATTTAGCAAGCATCTACTAAATGAGGGGAGAGGTAAGATATATTGAGATGGGAGGATGGGTATTAAAATTAATTGTTTGTAGCAGATTGGTTTTCACTTACTATCTGCTATTCATCTTACCAAGTGAAGAGATAAAATTGGTTTCATTTCATATGTATTTTGAAAGATAAATATGCTTTTTCAATTAGTACTACTATATCTAGAATTTACGTAGCAAATTTTTATCTACTAGGCTATAACATCTGCAAGGGAGAGGGACCAACACTCTTTTTTCTTACCCATCCAAAGATACGTGAAGTGTTGGTTATGCTAGGCTTGAACATATGAGTGAATAAGCAATCTAACTAAAATACAATTCAAACCCAAAAGTAGGAGATAAAGACAGATAGGTAAAATGTGACCTAGATATAAAGATATTGACTTCTACTTTTAGTCATCTATTCAGGGTAAAGTGGCAGGGACTGGATTAACCCATCTGCCTTAATAACAAGCAGATAAAATATATAAAACAACATATTTCAGACTTTGGACAGCAGGTAGTGTAAGACATGATCCTTGAGAGAAGGTAAACAAGGTGAGCTCTACAGGTGACCTAGCTGACTCCCGTCTCAAGCCTAGAGAGTGTTTTCAGTGTGGTAGAGGTAGAGGGAGCCCAGACACAGCCTGATAATCTCCCTGAGTAGAAGACACAGAGCTAAAAAATAGGAAGCTATGCGGCTAGAATTAGCAGGGCAGAGCACCATAGAGGAGAGACATGTGAAAGCAAGCAGGCTCAGGAATCCGCAGAGTGTTGCCTTGCTTCTTTGAGTACTGAATAGCATGTAGGAAACTGTCAAGGCCAGAGAAAGAAATACCTGAAAGGAGCAGGAGGAACCATGCCTGGAGCTCACAAAAAGATAGGAAGAGTTCCTGTTCCCACCAAGCGAGAGAAGAAAGACCTCAGAATACACAGAGCATTGAGGAGTGTCCTCCGAAGGGTTATTACCCTAGTAGCGGTGCTAAATCGGGCATAGACTACAGACTACAGGCTACTCTGGACCTGCCTAAGAATGTTTAAAAGCATGCCTCAAAAGGATCAAACTGATGCTAACCAACTTAATTACACCACAGAGCAAAGCCCAAAAAGATTTAAGGAAATACAAAAAAAAAAAAAAAAAATCCAGCAGCCAACAATGCAAAATACACACTGTTTGGCGTTTGATAAAAAATTATCAGGCACAGCAATATAAGCTATAGCTAGAAAAATATAAATTAATATAAAGAATCATAAACATCATGTGAGGTGCTTTGTACTTGGTTTCTTGAAAGGGAGAGTATGGGGTTTAAGGGTAGAGAATGAAGGATTTTAATGAAAGATGCAAGAACATAGAACCTCTGTCACAAGATTTAGGAAGAAATCTTGAAATGAGGTAATAATGTTCTGCTCAGGAACTGCTGCTTTCGAAGAAAGAAGAGATCAGTTTCAAATGTATGATCCATAGAGCTTGCATGATTGTTTACATATGGCAAGCCATGAAGAAAAAAGTTAAAAAGCTCCATTGTTTTTGAATTAATGTAACTTAGAAAAGAACGTTATCATAAACCAACAAAGGAAAGGTAGACGACGATAAGATCGGCGGATATGTCGAGTGTAAGGTCATTGTGGAGCGTGTCCAGTGGAAGATAGGCCATATGAAACTAGAAAATGATGGAAAGAACAAAGTAAATGGTGGCAGCCACTGTGCTGCAGGCTCTTACTTGCTTTCTGAGAATCAGAAGCCTCAGGCATGTGGCTTTGTTGCTATCCTATGCGTTGTTAAATCACCCAAGTAAAAACTAAAGAGGAAACCCTATTCAATTGCACAACTCCATGGAAAAACTAGACTTGCTTCTGAATGGTCTATAATTTAAAAAGGAATTTCATGTAAAATTGGACTTCTGGGAAAGCCTAGAGACTTCTGACTTGAATCTTTCATCATGGCCTCTGGACCCTGGCACTGATCCTCACTTCCCTAATTTGGGGTCTGGTTTTTATCCCCTGCTGACCTGATGCCTTTGTGCAGCTTTGGCCACATTGAGTGGGTCCTTTGTAGACAAGCTCTAGGCAAGCTCCATCCTGCCTGGGCCTTGTAGCTCACCTCCTTCTCAATCTGTGTCATTGCAATTATTTCCAGTAAGTTGATTACCCTCCCAGGTGTCTACCTCATGTTCTAACCCAGTGCCCAAGAGCTCTCAGCTAGGGGAATACCAAACCAGTGAATTGACCTGTACTGTCTTCTGTTTTACCAGCTACATTAAATTTATGTTCAGTTTCACCTGATGGGTAAGTCCTAAAGACTTGTTGGCAACCCTTTTCCCCTAAATGTCAACATAGTTTGCTTTTGTCATTTGTGCTCAATTTAGTCTGCACTGTAGAATAAAAGAGCTATAATCCTCAAAGCTTAATTTCCCCATCACAATATTTCCTATGAAAAATTATTGTATTATCTTTTAGTGGTTATCAGCCTGGGATCAGAGAACTGTAGACTATATATGATTAGTTTCCATAGACATATTATGTTTTATGTTTTATGCATACACAAAATATTATTCTGAATAGAGACTATGGGTCTCAACAAACTGTTAAAAAAATCATCGGGGCACCAAAAAAAAAGGCTAAGAAATCCTATGAAATCAATAGTCTCATTACAAAACTCTATTCTTGAACTCATTGATATATTTGAAATGTCGAGTACCTAGGAAGGCCTAAGGTAGTTTGTGGGAAAAATGGAGAAGATCAAGATGTGTAAGGCATGGTCCTGGGTAGTTCAAGTCTACTTGGGGATAATAAGCCACATATTTTTATGTGTGCCCCTCATAAAAGCTAGACAAAGTCACTCTCCACCACATGTTCCTGTTCTATTTTCATCAGAGCACTAATAATATTTGACATTATCTCATCTGTTTCCACTTTACTTACTGTCTGTCTCTCCTACTAGAATATCTATCTGTCTTATTGACTGCTAAATGTCCAGACCTAAAACAGTGCCTGGCTCATAATAGGAAGTCAATAAATATGCAACACATGTTTACATGAATAAATGAACAAATGAAAAGAAAAGTGAGAGTCGCCCTAAGACTAAACTAGATACTGGTTATGGAATGTTTATGCAGCACCATGCCAAAAAACTAAAAAACATTCCTGCTCATTATTTTCAGATAGCCATTTATTCCTCTCCCTAAAAGCCCACACTGAGAAAAGTCACTTGCATTTTCTTCCTCACCCCCTCTTTCATGGAGTCCTCTCACCCACATGCAGTGTTCTCTGTGTTATTCCTTCTTTGTCCTCCCAGAGCCAGTTCACAGCCTGCCTTCACCCACTCTGTTCTCCACAAGTGACCTTTCTTGCCAGACAGCCACTTAAAAAATCATTCTTTTCCCAAGAAGCAGCAGCCCCCAGAATTTCTGTTGGATAAAATTTTCCACCTTGCTACACAAACACGAAAGGCTAAATTAATAGTGCAATCTCGACAAGTGCGTATGAGTTCAAAGGAGAGAAATATCGGCAGGCCCTGGAGTTGTCAAGAAAAACTTCATGGCAGGCGTGTGACTTGAGCTGGTGCTTGAAGGATTAGGTTGCAAGAAGTTTGTACCATGCCCTGTCCCAGGAGAGGCTCTCATGCAGTACAGATCAGCATTTGTAGCACTCACTGGCTGACATGCAAACTGTTCAAAAAGGGAATTGGAGCTACTATTTAAACAGGCCCAGAAGGATCCTCAGTACTGTGGGTCCATTCACGCTTTAGTTCAAATAAAACTGAACTCTAAATTCTCCAAGTAAACTTCATCACCTCTCAAACACTTATCCCTTCAGCAAACCGTGGCATATTCCCTGATTTATGAAATCTTTAGAAGGTGCTAAAGGGCCTGGAGGAGGATATTCAATTGCAAATTCCTCAGTGCCTCCCTGCTCTGGGACTCTATAATGACAGGAATACTAATATTTAGATTTTGACTAGGACTTTCCACGTAAGGTACCCAAACTCTTCACACATATTATCTCCTTATAATTCTTACTGGAATTCTGCATTTTAAAAATGCTTCAGGAAGGCCTCCTGTCTCTCTAACATTTCCTTAGGTTCTAGTCCCAAAGCACCCACCTATCTGCCTCCATGATACCTGAACCATGATGGTCCTCCTTCCTTAAAGTGGTATATTTCCAACAGGTCATTTTTAAAATACCAATGCATTTTCTGGGATGGGTCAGACATCACAAACTGATGGAATACTTTGTCAGATCCAGGCTGGTCTCTTAAAAAGTAGAGAGAAAGGTATTTAAAAAATGAAAACAAAGGGAATAAATTTAGATTGTGGGGAGTAGAAAAAAGAAGACGAAACTTCCAGATCATAAAAAAAAAGCAGTATATGGGACTGTTGGGCAACACAGTCACTAAATGAAGTCAACGGAAACTCTAGGATGAATAATCTAAAAGAAAGTGGTACTCCGCAAACTCAAGCTGAGCTTATTGGACTTGTGGGGTTAGTATAGCTGCCCTGACTGCTAAGAGCAGTTGTTCAAGAAGTAATGGAGCTGGTAGTTGCACCAGAATTTATTATTCTTAGTGATGATTTTAGGAAATGCACAAGAATTTCGCTGTAAAACACGACTGAGTGAAAGTCAATTCTGATTCTGCTATCATCTCATCAAAGCTCTGCTATAAATACAGTAAAGAGTACAGCAGACCTATCCATTCTGAAATTGTTCCCAATAATAATTCTCATAAACACGCTCTCTCCACTCTTTCCAGTCTGTTCTTCCTTCCTGCTGAAAATGGGTTGGCATCTCTGCTTTCAGCTCTCAACTTAGACCTACTTCTACTCTTTTTGGGCTCTCAGTTTGGTTGCTTCTGCCACCTCCATGCCCAGCATGGTTCCTCTTAGATCCCTTCCTCTCTCTATCCTCCTCAAGGGCAGCAGCAGGTCCCCTGATGTGAATTCGCCATGCCCCTGCCTACCTCTAAAGGCAACTGAACTGACGGTGCTAAAATTCATCATCTTCCAAGTCTGTATGCTTTAAAATTAATTTATAATTCCTAAAATCTATCTCTTAGTTATAAAGTGTATTTCTCCCATGTAATCTGTATCTCTCTCAATTTAGCAAGGTGAGGTAGACAGATTCTGTTGAAAGAGATGTGTTATTTAGAATGATTATTTCCTTAGCAAATTACTATCATTTGTAGTTGTTTCCACTCTAAATAAAATAAATATTCTAAATTTCATCTTTTCTTTTCCACAACGTGCACCGTAACTCTTAGTGTCTTATTTTGGGGAACACAATATTAATCTTAGTTTTTCTTTCCAGACTTTTTAGTTCTGTGTATCTAAAATTTTCATAAAAAGATAAGCAAACACTACAGGTTCCCTCCAGAACAGAATATTCTCAATCAAAAGTCACTTGGTCTTAAACAGGGAACCCAGAACAATGAAACATGTGTTTGGCTCCCTTTCAAAAGAAATATTGCTTCCCCGTTCCTCTCACTGCCAGTCCCTCAAGGCAAGCATTGATCCCCAGAGATCTGTGAAGTTTCCACACCTCAATTACTTACTTTAGAGCTTAAGGGAAGAAATCTTTCCAAATTGCCCAGTACTAACTAATCAGTTTAGGTAACGTGCTATCATTTCTTTCTTCTAAAGTGTCATTCTCTGGGGTTGGCATTACTGCTCTCTTCCCAGCACTTCCTTTTTTTTTTTTTTTTTTTGAGACAGAGTCTTGCTCTGTCTCCCAGGCTGGAGTACAGTGGCACAATCTCGGCTCACTGCAACCTATACCTCCCAGTTCAAGGGATTCTCCTGCCTCAGCCTCCCAAGTAGCTGAGATTACAGGCATATGTCACTATGCCTGACTAATTTAGTAGAGACGAGGTTCTACCATGTTGGGCAGGCTGGTCTCGAACTCCTGACCTCCAGTGATCCCCCCCGCCTTGACCTCCCAAAGTGCTGGGATTACAGGCACGAGCCACCGTGCCCAGCCTCTTCCCAGCACTTTCATACTTTGTTTGCCTTGGATGCAAAGATTAATAAAATAATATGATAACTTCTGTGAAATAAAATCAACTGCTTTTTTTCTCTTTTTTCACCAATACTTCTTCTTGTCATCCTAAGTTACATTTTGTTGCTAAAACCAAAGATTCCTTCCTTAGAAGACCATCAAATTTATCATACCATGCTGCATTGTGGAATGAACATTCAACGACGACTCAAAACACCTTGGTTCTATGCCAGAACCAACCTATCATTATGTAATTCTCCTAGTTCCACTAGGTTTCAACTTCTTCATTAGTAAAATTAGCAAGGCAAGCTGAAAGCTACTATTCTCTTTGCAAACTTTGTTATTCATTTATTCAGTATTTATTGAGAACCTACTATATGCCAGGCACTGTGCTAGGTACCAGATATATAAAATGCCATGGCCTCCAGGAGCCCACATGAGAATGACAAGTAAACAAGTATCCACAGAAGAAGGGGAGCTTGAGAAATACACAGAGAGGAAATCCTACCTTCACCTGGGGATGGGAGTGTGGGTGGTGCAAAAGAGGTGACAGCTGAATGGCCCTGTGGGTTAAATAGTAGTCCAGGAAAGAAAAAAGGCAGGATAAGGGGCTCTGGGTGGGGAAAATTCTAAACATAGAGAAGAGAATGCATAACAAGATAATAAGCTGGAAATTCTTTGGCCTTTCCAAAAGCACAGACATATGAAAAGGAATGACAAGTTTGGGAACTGAGAGACATTTGGATTAGCTGGAACTCACTGCCTGGTAAGGCATGGCCACAGATGAGCCAGAGAGAGAAGCTGAGGCTGAGGCCACGGGGCCACACTGTGTAGCAGTCCTATGTGTATCAGGATTTAGCCTTTATCCCAGGCAATGGGAAGCAGCGTATGTTTTATGTTTTAGTTTTTTGTTGTTTTTTTGTTTTTTGTTGTTGTTGTTTTTAAAGAGACAGGGTCTCACGCTGTTGCCCAGGCTAAGTGCAGTGGCTTGATCATGGCTCACTGCAGCTTCAACCTCCTGGGCTTAAGCAATCCTCCCACTTTAGCTTCTCAGTTAGGTGAAACTACAGATGTGTACCACCATGCCAGGCTTTTTTTTGTGTGTGTGTGTGTGTGTTGGGGGATGGGGGGCGATGTTAAAGAGGGGGACCTTGCTATATTGCCCAGGCTGGTTTTGAACTCCTGTGCTCAATCAAGCCTCCTGCCTTGGCCTCACAAAGTATTGGGATTACGGGTGTGAGCTCAACCAGGCACTGGTTTTAAAGCAGGGGATCGTGTTGGCAGTAGGGTGGGGATGGGCTGGTAGAAGCAAGCCTTGCAGTGTCGAGAGCAGTTGGAATGCTCCTGAAAGAGTCTAAGCAAGACAAAAGAAGGGCTCAAAACAAGGGGGTGGCTGGGGGATATGGAGGAGGGAACATGTATGAGAGGTACTTGTGAAAGATCATTGACTGGCTTTGCTGACCACTAAATATGGACAGAGAGTGGGAAGAAGAAACTGGGAAGCTATTTGGGTGATGACCCCACTCACCAGGATGGCACAACCAGGAGGAGGAACACTTATGAGATTAAATGTTCAACTGAGGATGTGAAGTGTAGAAAGTGTCTAAGGAACATGCAAATAGAAATATCTGTAAGGTAGTTATACAATCAGATCCAGAGTTTGCTAAGTAGGGAAAGAGTTGGAGGTTAATACGGACATCAGTCATAGCACACAGAGAGTAGTTGAAGCCATGAAGCTATGAAAGTGGATATTTTCCAAAGAAAATATGTAGAGTAAGAAGGAAAGTGGGTCAAGAATGGAAACAAATAGAATAAGATTGGCTCTTAAACTGTTTTAGGTAACAGACCATTTGAGAAACTGATTATAGCTATGTACCATCTATATCCCCAGAAAAATGTTCACATAAACAAATTTTAGCATGGAATTTGAGGGATTCACTGACTGCATGGTTCAAGGATGCCAAGTCAAGGACAGGGAGCAAGAGAACACAAATAATTTCTATTTTTCCATTTTGCTGTTATAAATCATATTTCCAATGATACTAATTGCCAATAAATGAGACACTCAGAGTTTATTTTTTTTTCCTGCCACTAAAGAGTCTCTGTAGTATGATTCCTCACATGAAGAGATAGTTTCAGATTCCATACTGTGGAAGGTTTGCCTCTATCTGAACATGTCTGTCTGAGGCACTGGATTGTCCGATCAGCCACCTATTTCAAGTAATGGCAAAACCAAAATTCTGGCAGGAAAGTGGCATTGTATCTTAGAGGTAACTGTAATGTCCCAGACAGCCCATCTGCCCCACGTCTGAAGAATTTGAGACCTGAGCTCTGTCTGACATCCAATTATCGAAGGATAATTCTACTTGTGCCTCTCTTCTTTTCTCTTGGCTCACTTCATTTTCCATCCAAGTCCTTTTCTCCTTATAGAACTTGACCTTGACCCCCTGGTCCAAGAAAGACATCTGGCATCTCCCTACTTCTGAGTCCAGCACTGTTTTCTTGCTTTTCTCATTCAGCTCCCTGAGCTCCAGGGTCACAAGGTCAGGATCTCTCTAAAGTACACTATGCCTGCAGGAAGCAACAGTGCCACCACCCCCAATGGAACTCAGAAGCAGATAGATTACTGAAAAGAGCTCAGACAGAAATTGATTTTTCTTATCTAAATTATGGGCCACGTGAAAGTTTTCAATGCACTTTGAATTATAAGGAAGCTGTACTTTTCTAAGCATAAATAGGGGTGAGAGAAGTTTGTGCCCCTTTTTATCTTATCATCCTACCTTAATCCTAAACTTTCCCACCTCAAAGGGACACACAGAATGAAATGTTGCCTTGCCATTTTCTCTCCAGATTCTATCACCTTTTATCATTTACATACGGCCAACTGAGGCTGAAAACTACTGCAGCTTCCTCAATACTTGCCTGCACACATGTGCAGTAAATGACACCAATGTTAAATGTATCATTTAGTATTCAAGGAGATGAATCCCTACTTTCAGATCACACATTCATTGGTACATTATCCTGAATCTCCCTACAGAGCACTATATTCTTTTTCTCAATCCACTAAACTCTGAACTATGGATATTTCTTCCCAAGGATTCTAGGAAATAGTCTTGTGATATGGCACTAAACAAGGATGCTTTGTTTAGGAATTTTTTAATGGTCAAATTGGGAAACAGTTACTTCCCTTTGTAACTCCAGGTCCTTTTTTCAGATTACGAGAGCAAGCAGTCTTTAGTCCTGTAAGTTTTCTGAGGATTAGGAATACCACAACCATTCACGAAATAAATCAACAAAAAAGCATTCAAGAGCTCCTAATTCTAAGTCCAGCATGGTGCAGGGGATATAAGAAAAGCACTGTTAAGGAGAAAAGAAATGAAGCCAACACATCTCTCTAAGTCTCAGTCTTTTTATCTATAAAATGGAGGTGTTATCTACTACTGTGTTATGCAGTACTATGCAGTGTTCTTGAAAGAATTGGAAGACACTGTTGGCAAAGCCCTAGCCAAGGTTTGATCTCCCTGTCATATAAGTTCTTTGAACTTTTTCTTTATACCACCTACCATAATAGTAATTATATTGCTATTTGTGTAATTATTAACTGTCTCCCCCATAACACTATAGTCCTTAGAAGAAATAAGGTCCATCTTACACTATATTCCACAATGCTCAACATGTGGCACAACCTTAATAAACGTTTGTTGAATAAATGAATGGATGAACAAAGGCCAATAAGTTTTAGCTCTACTTCAGACTAAACTAAGAGTCTTGTGTATTATTTTATTTGAGTACATCCAAAACTATACCAAAAAATATAAGATAGATTTTACTATTATTTCACACATGGGATGACAGAAGTTTAAAAGGAAGCTCACCAATAAAATGCAAAGCTGAAATCCACATTTTCTGACTTCCACTTCCCAAACTCTTTTTAAAATTGGAGCAAATTGCCTCATTTGACTATTTTCTGTACTCAAAGAGTTCTCCTTAATTACTTAAATGTTATAATAAAAACATCTGTAACTAATTAGAAAAAAGAGAAATATGGGGAAAATAAGAATCACTTTTTTACCCTGCCCCCTTCTAGCCAAAACATAAACTAGAATTTATACTCCTTTCACCCAACAATATGCTTACAAGCTTTTTTCCTAGTTGTTTCATTGTTGTGTTATTTATTTTATTAACATTCCACCAGGTTCTGTCTCTTGGGGTGCTTTGTGCCTTTGGCCAGAGCCTTGTCCCATATTCCCAAGTGAAACACCATGGTGTCTTTAACGTCCCACCCATGCCACACTTTCTCTTGATAATTCCACACTCCTAAGGCATCAGGGTCCTCAGAAAATTTACAATGTCCAGTCCTCAGGAACCCAGGTAGACTAGAAGCTCCAAGCTTTTCTTAATTTCTGAATTTCTTCAAATCCATCCGTTTAATATTTGTCTCTGAAAACTATAATCTGGATGTTAGCAGGTTCATCAGATATACGTGTCTTAAGTAAATAATATGTGACCTATCCAAAGAAAACAAACAAAAATCTTAGTTAATAGATTCTTATTTTCCAAAAGCAATTGAGACTCCATTTTAAAACTCAATTGCAAATTCTGTGGAGATGTTGAGAATGATGTTGAGCATGACATGGCATGAGTCTGTTTTTATGACCATTTATGGCAACAATTTTCCAGCAGTGCCAGGGCTCATGAACACGTAGCTCATTTTTACCTGATGGACGAACACTAAGAATTGTAAAATGTGTACACAAGATGTTTATACATTCCACACGTGAGATTCCATACATATATAACTCTACAACAGTTATGGAATACTATACAGCAATAAAAACAAACAACTGGCATATGCTGTAACGTGTATGAAGCTAAAACACAATGCACTATGTCAAAAAAGGCAGACACAAAAGACTACACGCTGCGTGGTTCCATTTATATCAAATGTCCAGAAAAGGCAAATTTATAGAGATACAAGCAGATCAGCAGTTGCCTAGGATGGGAAGTGGCAGTGGGTCCTTTCCTTAAACAAATAAGGAGAAACTTTTTCAGGTGATGGAAATGTGCTAAAACAGGATAGTGGTGGTACTTGAACAATTCTGTAAATGTACTAAAAGTCACTGGATTGTACACTTACAATAAGTGAAAATTTTGAATCTAAGTTATACCTCAATCAAGTTGGTTTTAAAATGATGTCTTTGGGTCAAGTGCAGTGGCCCATGCCTCTAATCTCAGCAGTGTGGGAGGCTAAGGTGGGAGGACAGCTTATGTCCAGGATTTGAAGACCAGCCTGGGCAACATAGGGATACCCTGTCTTTACAAAAAAAAAAAAAAAAGAAAGAAAGAAAGAAAAATTAGCTGGTTGTGGTAGTATGCATCTATAGTCATAGCTTTCTGGGAGGCTGAGGTAAGAGGATTGCTTGAGCCCAGGAGGTGGAGGCTGCAGTGAACTGTGATGGCTCTAAGGCACTCCAGCCTAGCATAGTGACAAAGCAAGATCCTGTCTCAAAAATAAATAATAAATGATGTCTCTGAGAGCCAATCAGCACTTCAGGATTTAGAAATGGAGCCTTGATACTTGAATGCACTGTTTCATGATGCAGTATTTAGACTTTATATTCATAAAATCCTTCTGTACCAAGTTATGGATTGGTTCTTTTCAAGGAGTCCTATTAATCTGCTGGACTGCGTCTGTTGTGATTTTAAGAAGATTTACTCTAACAACTATCTTGCATTAACTCTGGAAATCGTTATAGTAATTCCCTGTGGTCAGGAGGGAATACGTGACTGTGAGGTTGATACCCTCAGCAGAATTCAATGAGGATCACTTCATTATGTTACCATCCCTTGGATAGTTGGAGTGGTTTGGCTCAACATAAATAATTTTTTTGTCTTTAATATTTGCTTAAGTAGAACCATCATCATTATGCCATTAGGTTGAATTTTAAGATGTAGGCTCGTTTCGTTGGCTTTTGGCGCATTTATTTTTGGCTTTCTTAGGAATTAACCGCAAACCATTAGTGAAAACAATAAAGCAGCCAGGAGAACTGTACAGAAAGCCTGGGCAAAGACAGTTGAGGAGGTCTTTAGCAAAGTCTCCCAGATTTTTGCCTGAGTTACCCAAATACATTGACAAATATCTCTATTTTAAAGTCATTAAAAAGGAAAAATATCTGGAACAATTTCTGCAGAAATCCCTCGGACTTTCCTCATACTCCCCCTAAGCCCATGCCACAACATGTACCACTAGACACACATGACAAATTACCAAGACCACACCATTTAAAAGTAAAACAAGATTAAGTTTGGTTGTCCATAAAGAGGAAAGATCTGGAAGCACTTTTTAAACTAATCTTCCACTACCACCGAGATTCTGATGAGTGCAGGAGGGAGAGATGTTAGAATATATTGGGCATGGGAAGGCTGTCTTTGGAAGAGTCTGACCCAACCTCAAGTGGGAGGGGGCATATATGGGAATTAGAGATGAAGATGAGCATGTGTCCTTTGAAAAATCTACCCAGATAGTTTGCCTGTAGGAGTTAGATATTTCCTCTTTAGTACTTTCATACCTCTTTGAATCAGATTCTATTTTAATCACAATATATTGTTGTCCTTCTTCCTCATTACATTAAAATCCTCAGAGATACAACTAACGGCATCTTACACATTGTTCTATCCAAAGTTCTGGGCGTACTGCCTCCTCCCCCGCCACCCCACTCAACTTTTAAGTTCGGGGGTACATGGGCAGGATGTGCAGGTTTGTTATGTAGGTAAACATGTGTGATGGTGGTCTGCTGCACATATCATCCCATCACCTAGGTATTGAGCCCAGGATCCATAAGCTATTTTGCTTGATGCCCTCCGTTCTCCCACAGGCCCCAGTGTGTGTTGTTGCCAACTATGTGTCCCTGTGTTCTCATCATTCAGCTCTCACTTATGAGTGAGAACATGCAGTGTTCGGTCTTCTGTTCCTGCATTAGTTTGTTGAGGATAATGGCTTCCAACTCCATCCATATCCCTGCAAAGGATATGATCTTGTTCCTTTTTATGGCATACTGCCTTTCACACACTGTGTTCAATACCCATCCCTAGGAGAAGTGTATTTACTGTAGAAAGACTATTACAGAAGTTTTTACAAATAAAAGTAATTATGTAGTGAAATGAATTTATTGGAACAACTACATTGGTTAACACATTTTACCTAGGGAAAGAATGTACTCATTTGAAGATTTTCCATCAGGTTTTTTACTTAATATCCATGTAGTTATTTTTGTAAGCCAGTTGCTTATATACAGCCAGTTGCTTATGTGCAGCATACTACATACATTTAGCACCAAAGAATCATGTCATGCTATCACTAGGAGGTTCTCTAACTAATATCATGTCAGAGAAACTTTCAAGCATGCTTTAAAAATGCTTATGTAAAATGTTTCCCTGGCCGTGATATCATGTCAAGTCTAAATATAGAACTTGCTGTCTGTAGTGTTTTTAGTCTTTGGTACTGTTCCCTTTAGCTATAGCTGTGCAACTTGTTTTGTGAACCAGTCAACCTGTTACGATGATGTCAGTATTGAAGTTATATAATAGTTTTCCTTCAAAGATTAAAGATACATGACCAATATTATAAAATATATAGATCTGACAGAATGCTTTATAATTAGATGAAATGTGCTTTGGGAAAAATTCTAATAAAACGTACCAAATAAATAATGTGACAAACCAAGCCCATGAAATCATCTCTTACTCTGTGTAACTCTTTTCGCTCGGTATCATGATTTTTTCAGATACGCAGAACTCTAATGATCAAAGGTTTATTAGTAAGACAGGAAAAGGAAGGGAGACAGAACCAAATCGGTTAATACTATATAAAGCTACTTTCTATCACATTTAAAGTATATTAGGAAAAGAAAATGTATTGATTAAATAAGTTATCACTAGTTATTCTATTACTGTTAAACAGGAAAGCTAGACTTAAAGTAAGCTGACATAGATCTGCCGATGAGTACATAGCAGGGGAAGTGGCTGCATGCCACAGTCTGCCATCTGGTGACACCTCATTGAAAGAGAGATAAGGAGCAAGAAAAATTATTGTGAACTTTCTTTATCCCGGATAGTTAGGATGTTTACTTCCACTCACCTTAATGGCTACATATCACTAGTTCCCAATATCTGACCTAGAGTAAACAGACTTTTTATGATTTATTTTACTACATTTCAGTTTCTCATGAAGACTCTATTGAGTATGAATTCTAAAAAGATTGGTCCTTAGGCAACAGGAGCGCTCAATGCCCAGTTAGAAAGATAACACAGCTGTTTGTTCAAACACTTTTCTAAGTGATCCGCAGTGGCAGCAGGAAAGAAAATGATGTCTCCTAGAAAGTAACAACTTGGCTAAAGTTAAACTAGCTTCAATAAAGAACATAAGAGAGAAAGATTCAAAAGAATGCTTGAAAAACTATCCTAAGAAGCTCAACAACCAACTTTACTTATTTAAATGTCTAAGAAGCAGACATTTGGGTGTCTCTTTAAATCTTCTAAAATAAAATGATGATCGTAGGTTAAATACAATCTGAAGTGTTAATTAAATGATTTTGTTTTTAAACCCATATTTTAAGATATATGTAATTTATTGCTTGTTTGCATTAAGTATAATTTTTTTTTAAGGCAGGATCTTGCTTCATCACCAAGCTATAGATCAGTGGCACAATCATAGCTAATTGCAGTCTTGAACTTCTGGTCTCAAGCAATCCTCCTGCCACACTGCCTCAGCCTACCAAGTAGCAGGCACATGCCACGATGCCTGACTAAATTTTTTTTTATTTTTTATTTTAGAGACAGTGTCTTTTTCTGCTTCCCAGACTGGTCTCAAACTACTAGGCTCAAACAATCCTCCTGTCTCAGCCTCCCAAAGTATTGAGATTATAGCGTCAGCTACTGCACCCAGCCCCTGAATGCAATTTCAAAGAAATATCTGATGTCAAAAATGTGTGACAAATTTTTTAACAAGCCTTTTATTTCCCCTAAGGCTTAGTAATGGTTGTTTTTCCCCAGTAAAGGTAGATCTAAATGTATTCTAACCTCAGAATAAATTCAATTAACTTAATCCATGGCCAAATGATTTTCCCATTCTTTCAGCAGATATATTCTCTAAAAAAGCAAGCATACTATAAATCGCTAGGCTTCTCTCTGGCCAAGGTGCTGCTACTTTAAAATAACCTTCTCTAGGTTTGTCCTAAAAGTCAGCCTTGCTGCATGAGAAAAGAGAATGGAGTCTAAGTAAGTAGATCTGGAGTGAAACCCAGATTTTCATCACCTACTCATGGTATGACCTGGTAAAACAGCTTATCTTTTCTTAGATCTGATTACCTCCTCTGTAAGGCTTTGTAGGCCATTGTAAAGATTAAATGAAATAGCGTATTGAGAGTATCTGGCACATATTAGACCTTTAATGAATACTAGTTTGCTTCCTTCTTCCTGTAACAAACATTGAAAATAATACATTCTGATATATCTAATGGGTTTTTATTGGCACAAGATTTTACTAACACTAGAGAAGACAGTGGACTCAGACAAAGTGCCTATCTTTGAAAAGCTTATACCTTTTTCTATGTATCGAAAGAGTTCCATGAGGTAAGACAGGATTTTCCTCTCATTTCTTTGTTCCATCCCCTCCACAGCCTGGGTGTGAAAGAAAATTCACAATAACTCATAGAAATTGCATTTTAAAGGGCTGGGCGCGGTGGCTCACACCTATAATCCCAGCACTTTGGGAGGCTGAGGAGGGTGGATCACCTGAGGTCAGGAGTTCAAGACCAGCCTGGCCAACATGGCAAAACACCATCTCTACTAAAAATACAAAAATTTAGCCAGGTACAGTGGCTCACGCCTGTAATCCCAGCACTCTGGGAGGCCAAGGCAGGTGGATCACAAGGTCAGGAGATCAAGACCATCCTGGCCAACACGGTGAAACCCCGTCTCTACTAAAAATACAAAAAAAAAAAAAAAAAAAGAAGAAGAAGAAATTGCATTTTAAAAGAATGTCAGTATAAGCTTTTAATTTATAATCATCCACGATGAAGAATCAGAAACAGTAGGACTTACAGTCTGGCGAGGGTCAGCCACATGTAGAACTGGAAGGACTCTTTCTCTCTACATTGACATGAAAGCTAGCAACAGTCTGGCACCCTCTAAGAGTACTGGCTTTGAAAGAATTGGAATGTGACACTTTAGTATGGATGCTGGGCTTTCCATGATGGATCTCAGGCACTTCTAACAGTAAAGATACCTCCAGTCATTTCAAGAGCAGAGGACATCAGCAAAAGGAAAACAGAGAGGGAGAGAGAGAGAATATGGCAGATTCCACTCATCAACTGGAACTAGTAGACTGGTTGCCTTCCCTTCGGGGGCTTCAGAAATATTTGAGTTATTCATGTAACATAAACTTTACCTTTAAACTGTATAATTCAGTAGCTTTCAGTATGGTTACAGAGTTGTACAACTGTGACCACTATCTAATTTTGAAACGTTTTCATTACCCCAAAAAGAAACCCTAAACCCATTAGCAGTTAACCCAATTTTCCACCACCCACCTGGTAACCACTCATCTACTTTCAGTCTTGACACTCTTATCAAAGTGCTTCATTTTTTAAAGAAATCGGTATGAAGTAATCTTTGGTTTTCTTCTTTGCTCTTCTTTCTCATGTATTTTTCATTTTTGTTAGCATTTTAAATCTCTACTTTGCCCTGAATTTCTCCTTGCCTGTCCTTCTTAGCTGACACTCCTGCTCCCACACTTTCTAACATGCGTCAATGTGTCTTAATTCTTTTGACTCCAAGGCTCAGAGGCAATGGCCATTTTATCATCAAAACATGAGTGAGAAAAACTAGTGTATGCTTAAGTCTGGGATTGCTAGGGCAACTATAGGTAGACTGAGAGTGTCCCTCAGGTTCTTTGAGGAAGCCATTGGAATAGTGTTATGCCAACTTTCACCCCAGACTCCAGCTGGTACTGTTCTAATTCTCAGCATTTACACAATGCCTGGCATATAGCATGCCCCAGTAAATCATTGTTGAGTAAAAGGAATAAACATCTTCCTCTGTGATGTCTACTGGTTTGCCCCTTCCGTAGAACCATCCGGCTGGAGCACTATTTATTTTCCTTCAAAAATTGTCTATTAAATGCCATCCTGGTGCTTAAAAGACTGTAATAAAATATAAAGAAATATACATATGTCAACATGGAGTATTTTTCCTAGATTGCTGAATCCAGCAAATTCAAAGCCCCTAGAAAATAATAGCCTGTACTTTTTTCTCCATAGAACATGAAAATATAAATACATTCATTTACAATGCACATTAGTTTTTCATTAGTGTTTTTTCTAGATGACTCCTCAGCCAGTGCTATTCAGGGCATGCAGAGGATTTTCCAGTCTTTGTGATATTCTTTAACATGTAGATGGGAAGGGAAGGAAAAGAGGTACGAGGCAGTGAGCTACAAGTCTCCACACAAACCTTTCTTTCAGTTCAAGTAAGAAAAGGGAGATAAAAAGCCAAATGTAGGCATACTGTACCCAGCAGGAGCCAAGAGCTACCTTTAAGATTGGCAGTTCCAAAAGGCATCAACAGGAATCCTTTTGGTAATTACCAGTTCGGAAATGTCATCCCATTGATTGTGACAGACATAAACCAGCTGTGCTTTGTTGAGGGAGAACAGAGGCCCAGCCTGAGCAGAAACAAACAGCGGGCCAGCTGCAGCCTGCACTCCGACTTCCTCCCCACAGAACTCTCCCACTTAATACTTGCCAAACTCTGAAGCAATTAATCACACAGCAGAAGTAGATCTGAAATGTCTGAAATTGCCTGTTGAAGATTAACTGAATCTATCATATTTCCAGCCTCACTGGGAGGGAGGGAAGAGCGTCTTTTCATTGGAAAAGGATTCTCAGTCAAATGAATTGCTAAGATCTCAGGCTGGACCTTCCAATTCCGACTGGAATTTAGAGAATCTTTTGGCCAGAAATCCTTATTCTTAAGTACAAGACAGGGAAAGGACATAGATATTTGCGTTTATGAATTCCTGGGGCAGAACTGAAGGCACAGCTTCAAGCCAACACACATGTCCCTACAGCCTAAATAGCTATTTGAAGAGCAATTTTTAATTTATTCTGCCTATTGTTTATAAGAAACAGCTCCTCTCCTCCAATACCCACCCCCTCTTCCTAGGTGGAGAATTGCTGTATATGTCAGGGGTGATGGGGGCTCCCGTCACATGTGCCACCCACCTCACCTTCAGGGGAATGTGGGCCTCTCAGCTGGAGCTGTAGTGCAGCTCTCAGCATCCAAAATAGCTACTGCATGGAAGTCGCACTGCTTCAGGCTCAGGAAAAATCAGCTGCTGCCATGTAGCTGCCTGGTGCAACTCACCCCCATACACCTGAGGCAAAGGCTTCTAGTGACTCCAGCCCTGGTGTATGGGCAAAGGGTGAGGGGTGGGCATCTGCCCTCAGGGCATCACTGATGTCCCAACCCTGAGTGGTGTGTCTTGGGCTAACCCAGGGCATCTTTATATCTTTATATCCTTATCTCATCACTGTCATTAGATACCCACACTAGGCCTCCAGGGAAGGCTGGGAGATTGCCATTTCTTACAGGGAAATGATCATGTCTTCTTTATACCCAACCAGAGTGTCTAGTTTAACTCTCTGCCTGTTCATTCCTTTAAAAGTGTCATCATCGTGGGATCTAGAGACAAATTTACTTCTTCCTGTTTTAAACTATTCATTTACATAACATTGATTCCTGCCAAAAATGCTATTGTTTTTATTTTTAAAAGCTTTGTTTACATAAATATCTTCTTAGTGACATGACTTCTAAACAACATCTGTGGCATGTATTAACTATCTTTTAAATAGAATGAATGGCCTATCGGTTCTTACATAGGATGAAAGCCCCAAATATGCTAGAAAGTAAAAAAGCTACCACAGAATGTTTTGTATGAGTTTGTTTTCTGAAAAATAGTCATATATATATAATATAAATATAAAATAATTTAGAAGACTGCACACTGAATTTTGACAGCAGCTATCTTTAGGAGGAAAGAATATTGGGAACTTTTGATCCCTACATTTTGTATTTCTGTCATGTGTAATGTTTTTATGTCAGTTCTTAGTAGTTGGAAAAAATAAAAAAGTAATTATGAGTCAACGCCAATCATTAGTTGTGATTTGAAAACAGAGAAAGCCTTAGCCCCACTGGGTCTTCCACTCAAAATGTGGTCCCTAGAACACGAATAGCAGTATGACCTGGGTTCTTCTTAGAAATGCAGAATCTTAAGCTCTATCCTGTGTCTATATTCATGTTCACATTAAGGTGGGAAAAGCACTGACTACCCACATTAACTATTGCCTTCTTCTCCAGGCATATGTAATTCCTTGTTATAATTAAAAAAAAAATAAGGCTGGGTAAAGTGGCTTACACCTGTAATCCATGCAGTTTAGGAGGCCAAGGCAGGAGGATTGCTTGAGCCCAGGAGTTTAAGACCAGCCTGGGCAACATAGTGAGACTCCATCTCTATTAGTCCACTTTTGGACTACTATAAAAGAATACCTGAGACTGGGTAATTTATAAAGAATACAGGTTTGATTGGCTCACGGTTCTACAGGCTATACAAGCATGGCACCAACATCTGCTCACCTCCTGGTGAAGCCTCAGGAAGCTTACCATCATAGCAGAAGGCAAAGCAGGAGCAAGCACATCACATGGCAAAAGCAAAAGCAAGAGAGAGAAAGGGAAGGCCCCAGACTCTTAAACAACCAGATCTCATGTGAACTAACTGAGCAAGAACTTATCACCAAGAAGATGGAGATAAACCATTCATGACAGATCTGACCTCATGATCCAATCACCTCCCACCAGGCCCCACTCCAACACTGGGAATCAAATTTCAATATGAGATTTGGAGGGGATGAACATCCAAACCATATCACTGTCTCAAAAAAAAAAAAAAAGGTGGGTTTTTTTTGTTGTTGTTTTTAAGTTAGCTAAGAATGATGGCACATGCCTGTTACCTGTAGTCCCAGCTACTCAGGAGGCTGAGGTGAGAGGATCACCTGGGCCCAGGAGGTTAAGGCTGCAGTGAGCCAGGACTGTGTCACTGCACTCCAGCCTGGACAACAAAGATCTTGTCTCACTAACATTTAACAAAATTATCTACGGTTACTTTATTTTAGAACTTGAACTAAGGCATAAAAAGATTTTTGTAAGAGTATATTTTTAGCCATTTGATGGCAATGAACTAAGCTCCCACTGAGTACCTGTCTTCACTGGAGAAAGTCAAGATGGAGTCCATGCCTCCAGGTGCATATAGTCAAGTAAAAGAGAGAGACAAATAAGTGGTTGAATGGGAAAATATGTAAAACTGGTATAAATACGGGCAAAAAGTGTTAAGGAGCCACAACTAATCAAATTTTGTTATTTGTATTATTTGGTGAAATGAAGAATGTTCAATAATGTCTTTGCATACCTTACTGATTTTTTTAATCACTCAGAAGT
Organism: Homo sapiens; assembly: GCF_000001405.40. Taxonomy (NCBI): domain Eukaryota; kingdom Metazoa; phylum Chordata; class Mammalia; order Primates; family Hominidae; genus Homo; species Homo sapiens. The sequence goes on along the minus strand of NC_000013.11, from coordinate 79,656,562 downwards.
AGAGGAAGGATATTGGAGCAACAAACTCTAGACTTAATTATGTCCACTAGGGAAAAACACGTTGGAGCTATAAAAACAAAAAGGAAATGTGGGGTGGGAAAGTAGCAATATTGTCTTGATCTTATGATATTAAAAACAAAACAAGTAAACACAGAAGAGCACTGAGTACATCCAGTTGTTAGACAAGCCCCATTGATCTGAGAGTCTAAAATGAATACAGTTCAATTGGAGTGGGACATTTTGGAAATGAATCATTTGGTCTATACATCTGCCCAGAGTCCACATTGGAAAAGAACAGAAAGGGGGAAACTTTTGCAAAAAAAAAGTAAAATAAAAATATGTGTGCCTCTGTACCTAAAAGGGAGCTCTCTGGTGATCTAAAGTTTTAAAGGTCATTTACAAATAATGAAAGAATGGGCATTTGATCAAGGAGATTTTTGACACTCCCCTTTAGAATACTTATATTTGACTTTTGGCCTATGTGAAAATGGAAATAATATTTGCAATTTTGTTCTAAACCCAATTCAAAGAAGCTTAGACTGGTGAGCTGAAAATGTAAAACTCTTTGGGAGAAATCTATCTGTGTGCTCCCTTGGGAATTGGAGACTTGCATACCGACAATAAGAGAAAATGACACACTATGCTAGTCATTTTCTGAAGAAGGAAAATAAAAGGCTAGATTTTAAAAAAGGTGCTTTGAAGTATCATTACATGCATGACTTTGGTGGACAGCCCTGGAAGCTAGGGAAAAAGAGGATGCACTGACCATTTAAGAATCAGGGGCCAGTCGCGCCTACAATCCTAGATTCTGCCCACACATCTGGAACATTTCAATAAAAGACTTGGAGATAAGATTGACAGCTTCATGTCAGACACAATTAGAGGAATGAGGGTTTCAGTCCCTGATATGTAAGATGAAAGTAAAGTCAGACAAAAGCAGAAATAATAGCAACTCTTTAGATAAAAGTGAATAGGAGAGAGATATTTGTGAAATAAGTAAGAGAGAGTCACCAAAATCATTCTTTCAACTCAGCAATGTTTTGACAATGCTTGCTGACATTCCAGCACTTGAGTCTGAAGATGTATCTTAGCAGAATCTTCCACACAGTGTTCTAGTCATTTCTTATTAATACTCGTCATTTCTAACAAGCATTATCATAGTTTATTAACTGATCTTTACAATACAGTGTACCTAAATGAAAATATATGAAGATTGCATTTTAAATATGGCTCTAACACATAGCTTTTTTTCCCCCACAAAAAAAATAAGAACTTCTGATTCAACAGATAAAAAGATGCCACATCATTAGAATTATTTAATGATGGTCTCTTTCACTTGAATTTAACTTTCAACTTAAAGCCTTCAATGTTTTAAATCAGTGCTATCTGACTAAAACAATAGAATGGAATGCATTTGTTCATATTTTACCTCTTTCAAGTAAAGAAAATTTGAGGTGACTTACAGCAGAAGACGTACATGGTAAAAATCTAGTAGATATTCATTAGAATATTTAGAAACTTACAGAAAAATTAGAGCCCAGGACAAAGATATGCCTTACAGTTTGCAAGATTGTTGTGAATGAGTTGCAAGCATTGCCCCACTCTTCCTGGTAAAATATCATTGTTTTCATTATCGTGAAAAAACTTTGAACCTCTACCTATGAAATGATGTATAAAAAAGTGCATGTTGTTTGTGTCTTTCTTTTGTTAATATCATGGAAAAGGCAGAGTCAACATTAACCTCTGTCCTCAAAATCCTACAGCTGTTTATACCATTCCAAGTGTGTTCTGTGGACCAGCAGCATTGACATCACCTGGGAGCTTGCTAGAAATCCAGACTCTCATGCACCATTCCAGACCTGCTGAATCAGAGGCTGCATTTTATCAAGATCCTCACATGCTCTCCTGCATATCAAAGACTGAGAAGAACAAATCTGTAACACTAACCTTCCAGCAAAATTATCATTACCTCAGAGCAGAAACTAGCTTATTCCCTTCTTTTTTTCCATGACAAGTACAGTAGAGAAAATATTATACAGGTTGAAAAAAAGCTAAATAAAATTATTTTAAATGAATGAACAGTTATAAAACAAAAAAATAGACCAAGAGGATCAAAATTCAGGATCAAAATCAGTTCATTACAATTCAAAATTAGACTATGAGTTATACATTTTAATAATGTCATTTTAAATATTAATAATGACTAACATTTATCACTTATGTGTGACAGATACTAATAAGCACTTTTTATCATCTTCCTCACAACTTTATGAGGTAGTATTACCCCATTTTATTAGTGAGGAAATTGAGATTTGAGATTAAGCAAATTCTCCAAGTCCACTGTTTGAAAGTGGTAGAACTACAAGCTAAATACAGGCTATCTGATTACTTGGCGCTCTGAGTTTCTAAATGATGTAAAACTCTAAGACCACATGAACTTGGAAACCTTGCAATAGATCAGGTGATTGAACCTTACCAAAGTTTGGATCAAACAATTGAATCTGATCAAAGTTGATACCTGAGTAGTTCACATTTTTAAAGAACTGTAGCTTGCTTATATGTTTGTGACTGTAAAATCACAGGCCTGATTCTACAAATTTAAAAAGTATATTCTAGTATCAATGGAGATGAAAAATAGGAAATAAATTGAGTAAGAAATGGCAAGAATGCATATATATATACAAATAGATAATATCCATCCACATTTCAAAATATTTAATACATATTCATCCTTGTGGATGTTTCTAAGTATAAGCTTTCTGTTTCGCTTGACAGTAGCTGTCAAGTGTAATTAATCCTCTCTATAGCTAGAGAAACTGAGGTTCCAGTCAGTCAATGTGAATCAGGGTCCTCTTCAGGTGACGTGTGGACTCATTGTCAAGATATTCGTGTTTATCATCACTCTCTACATTTGGTTTCTCCTGTTGGTGGAAAATGTAAAAGAAGACAGCAGGTGTGTGTATCTAATTACATGAGTATGGACCATGTGTATAATGAATGCTATCACACACAGGTAGAAAGATACATGAAAGGTGGGGTCAGTGATCCATAAGGGAGAAGAGGGTACATTCCTCTGTAAGGGCGGGGACTTTGTTTTGTTCTTCATGATATCCCCAGTGCAATGCCTGGTATTTAGAAGGTATTTGATTCCTTTGATTGGGTGAATATCCATGGGGAGTTTCACCACTGGATACTCAAAAATTATCCATTGAAACTTTGTAATCAGACATATCTGGACTTGAGTATCAGTCTTACTAGTTCTATGATTTTAAGTAAGTTGTTTAATCTTTAACACCTCAATTTCCTCATATATAAAATGGACATAATGACGCTAATCACATTAAGGTAAGAGGATCAAGTGAAACACTGTGTAAATTGCTTAGCATGGCTTATGGCACTTTGCATGCCCAATAAATGTAGCTGGAGATACCAGGTCTCCAATGGGGTTACATTGAGTCTCAGTTTTTACCATGGGATCCTAGCCTAGCTTATGATTTTTCAGATGTATAGACCAGAAAGAACCATGAACTGACAGCCCTTCAGTGGTAGAACCATGACCATGAGCAGGCCCTTGACTGTGTCTAGCCCTCCTCATTCACAGTTCACAGAAGAAAGTCTTTCTTTAAAATCAGATGGGCTGGGCACGGTGGCTCATGCCTGTAATCCCAGAACTTTGGGAGGCCGAGGCAGGCAGATCACTTGAGGTCAGGAGTTCAAGACCAGCCTGGCCAACATGGCAAAACCTCATCTCTACTGAAAACACAAAAATTAGCCAAGCGTGGTGGCAGGTGCCTGTAGCCCCAGCTACTCAGGAGGCTGAGGCAGGAGAATTGCTTGAACCTGGGAGGCGGAGGCTGCAGTGAGCCAAGATCGCACCACTCCAGCCTGGGCAACAGTGTAAGACTCTGTCTCAAAAAACAAAATCAGATGTAGCGTTCTTCTCTGGATGTCTTTCACCATCAGAAAGCATCTCTTCGAGCCTCTTTCACACTCCCAACAGCTGAGTGGATTCCCACCTAAACAACAAAGACCACCCTGCAGAGGAGTTGTGACCACAAAAGTCAAAGTTGCCCTCTTCATTTGTGAAGAGGAAATATTTCACTTCCCCTGCTTATTTAGGCCACTCATTCTTGGGTACCGTGGAAATAATTCAGATCAACTACCCCTGTATTTAGATTTCCTTGATATTTAGAGGTTTTGAGTTCTGAGCTGTTTATATTCCTTTACCCAGGCCCTAAGGGGATATATCTGATAGAGAAATTACCTGGGAACTTGAACCTACTGTTGCATACTTTTATGGATGCTGAAAACAAGAGGAGGTAGATCCAACGCATGACAAAGGAAGAATTAAGCCCTTAAGATGCCATAATTTCTGAGGTTATTCTGAGTGTGACAATTACGATGTTGCCAAGAGGCAGTGTGATGGTTAGTTAGAAAGCTATGAGCTGTGAGACAAATTTGCCTTATGGTCTGTTTTTATATGACCTGCAAGCTGAAACTAAATTTTATATTTGTTAAGGGTTATAAAAGAAGAAGGAGGAGAAGCAGCAGCAGCAGAGATCATATGCGGTATACAAATAAAACATTAAATATCTGGCCCTTTACAAAAATAGTTTGCCAAGCCCTGGTTAGACTTCAGAGCTACACTGCCTGAGATCAAGTCACACTAGGACATCTTATGGTAAAAACTCTACAATTCAGCTTCTTCAACTTCTAAATGAGAAAATAGTATTTACCTGTTTCTGGCACAAAACAAACCCCAATTAAATATTTTCTTCCATTACCTATGTTGAGGCAAACAAAGCAAGATAAGTGAATTTAGCTCAACTGTGGTTTTCTTTTTCCTCTTCTAATTCTGATTTATCATTATATTTCCAGCACTTGGCACATAGTAGATGTACAGTAAGTAGTTAATGAGTATTTTATGAGTTAATGGGTATTAGAGTCTTTGATTTTTTAATGTATTTTATGTTCCAAATTAAAAATATACCTGTTGGCCAGACAAATAAATGAAAGTTTTTAAAAATAAAGTTTTTCACATGTAACTGATCTTCCAAAAAGTAAATTACAGGAAAAAAAACAAAGAGAAATCCAGGAAGTAAACTATAGATTAAAAGAGAGTTAATAAGGGTTAATAAGATTAACACAATGTATAAATCTTAATTTTGAATTAAACATTTTTTAAAAGTTATTTATAAAATAATCAGAAATGTGAACACAGAATGGATATTTGATGATATATCAAGGAATTATTATTAATTTTTACATGATGTATTATGAATCATTATTATGTTAAAAATAGAATCCTAATCATTCAGAGATAAACATTGAAATATATATAACAGAAAACATATGACATCTGGAATTTGCTTTAAAATAATATGAATCATTATATAGTCTATGCATGTAACAAAATATCACATGTATCCCATAAATATGTACAAATATTATGTATCAATTAAAAAATTATAATTGAATCAATTATTAAATGGGGAAGAAAAGACAAATCCATGCAAAAGAATTTCAAATATCTTATGTAGATACCCCCTCAAGAAGAAACATACCTTAAGTGTGGACTGGTTATAGTGACTTCCTTAGAGGGTGGGGTAGATTTACTGTAGAAAAACCTAACAAACATTACTTCAGCCAGGTGATCAAGGCGAACGTCAGCAGTCATAAATCATGCTGATAGTGCGACGTGATGTGATGTGATGAAAATGGCACTTCACCTCTGTGAATAACCCATAACCTCAATCTTATGTCATGAGAAAAAAAATCAGACAAATTCTAATAGAGTATTCTAAAAATATCTGACTGGAACTCCTCAAAACTGTCAAGGTCTTCAAAAGCAAGAAAAACTGTCACAGCCAAAGACAACTAAATACAACATGATATTCCAGGTAGGACCCTGAAACAGAAAAAGGGCTTTAGGCAAAAAATAAGGAAATCTAAATAAATGATGGACTTTAGTTAATAATATTGTATTGATATTGGTTTATTATTTGTAACAAATGCATCATAATAATGTAAGATAGTAATAATAGGGGAAATTGGGTGTGATATATATAAGAACCCTCTGTACTGTCTTCTCAATTTTTCTGCAAATCTAAAACTATTATAAAAAAAATAATTTCTAAAATATGGGATGAGGGTTGGGGGGTGGGGAATTGATGCCTGAATAGATGAAACAAGATTTGTCCTAGAACTAACAATTGTGAAAGTTGTGATATGGGTACAGACAGATTCATTACACTGTTCATGACATAGTCTACTAAACATATTTAGTAGATTGTGCTGTCTATTAAATATGTTTGAAGTTTTCCACTGAAAATGTAAAAAAAAAAACTTTCAATCAGAAGAGAAGGTTAAGAAATAGTGTCCTGAAATGTGGTATACGTATATACACCATGGAATACTACTCAGCCATTAAAAAAAAGAATATGAAATATCTTTTGCATCAACTTGGATGGAGCTGGAGGCCATTATTCTAAGTAACTCAGGAACAGACAACTAAATACTGTGGTTCTCACTTACAAGCAGGAACTAAGTTATGGGTACACAAAGGCATACAGAGTAGTTTCATGGACATTGGAGACTCGGAAGTAGGGAGGGTGAGAAGGGGATGAGGGATGAAAAAAAATACCTATTTGGTACAATGTACACTATTCAGTGATGGGTACATTAAAATCCCAGACTTTACTAATTGTACAATTTATTCATGTAAACATAAAACCACTTGTCCCCCTAAAGCTGATGAAATAGAAAAATTAAAATGGAAAAAAGAGTGTCCCAAACTACATTTTTCCTGACAGTTATACATAAACATCTTACTGATGTATACTAAGTTTCAACTATTAAGAAACCATTAGAAATAAGAAGTTCGATTTTGACACTCTAATTCAATATAAAGCACCATTTGTTTACTAAACAGCTGTCTCATGTGATATTTATAACTACTGCATGCAAGAGACAGCTGTGATCTCTATTGAAATAGATTTGTGCTATATATAAATTTGTAGATGATATGCATCTCTTTATTTATGGAAGAGTCATGCAAATTAAATTATTCCATATTAATACAAAGTTCATCTACACTCTACCTCCAATATTACTGTTTCACATTACTTTATGAACTCCATCCATTAAGCATGGGATCAAGGCTGTGCTAATGAGTTGTGAGTGACTATAATTCAGTAACCACTACAGAATCCCCAAATCATATATTTCACATAATTTGTTACATAATGGATGTATATGTAACATTCTTATTAAAGTTGAGTAAATATGAGAATAATGGTACTTGATATGTTAAAAGTCTTTAAAAACAATCATTAAACAAGAAAAAAAATTTCTCTCAGATAATTCATCTTCTAAGATACTTTGCTCTCAAATAGCTCGTCAAACAATGTAACTAAATGCAATAAAATAATAATTAGTGTAAGAGTAACTTACAAAAAGGATAGAGGTAACCCATTTTGTTAATAGGGAAACTGTGGCAATGAGAGGCGAAATCCAAACTCACAGAACTGTTGACTGACAAAGCCAGATATATAAACACAAGCTTGAGTGAAGTTAAAGCTCATGGTTTTGCACTATAACAGATGCCTCTCTTGTGAAATATTCTATACAAAAATCCAAACTGAAAAGGCTCAATTGCTCCATTACCCTAGCATCGGCCCCATCTCTTCTCCTATAAGCCAGGTCAACAAGGGTTCTGACCATTAGGCCATCAAATGTAGTAGACATGTATGTAGCCTGGGTGTTGTTCTTGTTTTCCCTCAATTTCCTTGTCAACTCATTTTTCTATATATTTCTCAACATATTATAATCATTTTTATCACTATATTCTTTGATCCCCAACAACTATTTTCACCTGTTTAACTACAACCATTGGTAAGTTGTGGATGTTTATGGAGTTAGTGAGTTCCTTCTTGTAATGCAAGGGATTTTTGCTATCATTTATTAAATACATTAGACTGATGATGTGCAAAATAAACATTTGCAATCAAGGTTGACTGTATTTAAGAAATTGCCTATAATAAGAGTTATATAGGAGTTGCAAAATCTGTACTTTCTTAATGCTTAGTAGAGTCTGCATAATAGAATGGCCTGCTCTAAGATTCCCTCAGTCATTCCAAACCTCACCTCTTTCATTCATACATTCAGTCATGTAGATGAGACATAACCCCAGAAAAGTTAAAGAAAACATTGGTTGTGAATAACATCTTCAGCCAACTATGTACTTTGTCTACACCACTTTTCTGAAGGGGTAATATTTCACACTTGCTCAACGAAGGGTTTGTTGGAAAAATGAATGAGATAATCCCTGTAAATCCTAGAAGCTTTCTGAACTAAGGTTACCATATACAGATTTTACCCAGGTAACACTTTAACAAGCTGGGTCACTAAGAAAGCGCTTCCTTTTGCCCTGAAATCATTAGTTGGTGCTTCTATATGTAAAAGCCAGTATTTTGTCAGGGGCCTCAATAACATGTAGGGTTCTCAGGAACACTGAATTCTAATGCTGTGGTTAATCCTCAGCAATTTTTTGAAAGTGTGTGTTTTAGCTTCACCTACAAAAGACCTAACAGAGATTTCCTACAGAACAAACATCAGCAGAGAGGATAATTGTAGTGCCCTTTACAAAAACAACTGTTATGACTATTTAGCCAGAGCCAGCAATGTTGGACTTGTCCCCACTTGCTGAGAAACTCAGGAGTTGTTCTACTGAGCTACCCTTACTCACACAGTAGACAAGCCTCCCAGCCTGGCTCATGATGGGTCTTGTCGTAATTCAGCTGGAGCCACTGGTAAATATCCACCTGTCTATTACTCATTAATAGAGAGAGACAGGATGTCAGCTGTTTCCGTGACTTGGAGAAACATAGGCTTTTACCACCTTCTGGCTTACTCTCAAAGTATATTAGAAACAATAAGGCAGACAAAGATAAAAAAGAGCAGGAAGATGCAATGTCAAAAATAAAAATAAATCATCATTGGCTGAAGGATACAAAGATTACAGCCTTTAACTTGCTTTGCAGGTTTTCATAATTCAACTTTGGCAGTTTAGTCATCTTAGAAGATAGGGAAAAATAGACTCCAAACTGATTTACATATAGAAAAATTTATTCTGCTAATGCTAATAGATATTATAACATTTGTTTATTAACCCCATCACTAATATTTAGATCATATAACTTGTGCTTACCTGTTTGAACAGTAAATAACTTACATGTCACAATATGCTTAATTATGATAAAATAAGGCAGACAAAATTGCTTCCTGTGTTCAATTTTAATCCCAGAAATTGTTTTCTGTGTCAGTTACAAAACTAGTGGTCTTAAACAAACTCTAAAATTCAGTGGTTCAACACAATAGTTTATTTCTCACTCATCTAATAGTTCAGGGCAGGTGTTCCAGGAGAACAGAGAGCTTCCTGTTACATGAGCCGTCAAGACTCAGGCCTCATCCATTCTGCGGCTCTGCTACCCTTTAGAACTGTGTCATCTTCTGCCTTCAGCAGGAGGAGGACATAGGGAGCATGAAGAAGACACAGCACTGATCACATTGTCCAGGAAGTAACACACATCACACATGGGACCTACCTAGAGGCAAGAGGACTCAGACATGAAGTCTTGGATGGGCAGCCACTGCCCTTGCCCTCTACACCTTGGAAAAGGAGATATATACTCCAAAGGACAGTGAGCCACCTCTTCCACAAGCACTAATCTATAGAGATGAGGCACATGAAGAAAATTATTCCCAAATGCCTCCCCGTTCATTGGATAATGCCTGAAATTTTACAAAGTTTCATTAATTTAAGACTGACCATCTGTTATAAGGCAAACATTCTTCCAACTGTTTATTTACATTGTGAATGACTTTCTGCTCCTATAGAAGAAATTTATAGCATTAAAGGGGCTTTAAAAGAAGAAATCCTGAGACTATGGAGATGAGAGAAGAGTGGCAAGAGAGCTTTGGAATCCCTCTCTCTGAGGTCACCTCAAACCTATAGGCAGAGCCCTGAGACCCCCTATGGATGCTCTCCTCCCCAACTAAACTAAGAGACACTTTCTGTCTCTAGCAGTAGAAAACTCAACAACTCTAGAAACTCATGGTTAGTCACATCTACAGCCAGTCAGGCTCTAGTCCTGTAACCAGGACTAGTACTTGGCCTTTTTTCAGCAGCTGTGACAAAGCCCATGCCTTGAAACTTTTCCTATGACTGGATCCTTACCTCCATATCTGAATAATTACTTAACTTTGCATGGGAATTCTACATATATCAGTCTCATACAAGCTTTGCAATAATTAGTAAGTGAGGTAGGTATTATTATTCTCTTACAAAGATAAAGAATCACAGGGAAGTTAAGAACACACTCAAGTTAATGCAGCTATTACATGGCAAAGCCGAGACCTGAAGTCAGACCTCACGGTCCCCAGCCAATATTCCTTCTACAATGAAATACTGTCCTACTGGATACACCTCTCTCTCTCTCTCTCTCTCAGCCTGAGGCTTGAGGCCCTGCTTGTTGACACAGCCCTCTAGCCTTCCATGTCTAGAGTTCTATTCCTTTAATGTCTTTATTGCACAGATAATTATGGATCAATACTAGGAGCCAAGCACTTGGTTTGTGACAAAACAAACATGCTGCTTCCCATTCGGGGGTTAGCCTACTCACCAAAAAATAAATGTATAATTTCACATAATCATAAGCGCTACAAAAGAAAAGTGGTGCAATAGAAGCAAGCAGGTGGCGGGAGGGCACATAGGGACAGGAAACCTATTTTGAGTGGGGCTGTCAGGAAAACCTCTCTGTGGTGTTGACATTTAAGCCAAGACCTGAAAAATGATGTCAGTGGTGAGAAGAAAGTGATGATATTGGTGGGGTAGGAGTCCCTAGATCAAGAAAGCTTTGACAGTACAAGAAAATGAGAAGGAGGCCAGTGTGCCTGAAGTATGGCAGGGAGGGGAGCAGAGATGCATTTGGAGTAGTGTGCCTGCCCAAACATAGAGGAGTTAGGATTTATCGGATTGACAACTGGGATCCACTGAAGAGTTTTAGCAGAAGAGTAATATGATCACATTTATTAAAAGATTATTCTGGTCTTTAACTCCTGACCTCATGATCCACCTGCCTTGGCCTCCTAAAGTGCTGAGATTACAGGCATGGAGAAACCCTGTCTCTACTAAAAATACAAAAATTAACTGGGCGTGACGGCATGCACCTGTAATCCCAGCTACTCAGGAGGCTGAGGCAGAAGAATCGCTCGAACCCAGGAGGCAGAAGTTGCAGTGAACCAAGATTGCACCACTGCACTCCAGCCTGGGTGACAGAGCTAGACTCTGTCTAAAAAAAAAAAAAAAAAAAAAAAAAAAGTGAAAAAAAAAAGATTATTCTGCAGGTGCTTTGGAGAATAGAGGGGAAGAAGGCATGGATGATGGCAGAGAGGCACAGCAGTGGCCCAGGGATGAGATGATGCCTTGGAATATGGTAGTGGTAGACAGAGGAGTTAAATATGTAGAGTTGAGATGCACTTGGGAGATAGAAGTGCTGATGGATGAGCTTTGAGGAGCAAGAGAAAGGAACACATTAAGTTTGGCTTCTCAGGTTTTTGCCTTTTGCAACAGGACCAAGCTCAGCTTCTGAACTGGGAAAGGATGAGACTTTGTCATTTTATAATGACCATATTTCTCAATGCTAAGATGCATTTTTTTCCTGCAATTTGGTGTTTCTGAAATCGATATGTCTTACAATCAATATCAAAGGAAAACTCCAGAGAAGCTGTGACAACATTGTCTTCCCTTACAAATATGTGAAGTTGGCCCAAGGTGGAAGACATCTATCCATTCATCAGATTGTCACCTAGGCTATTTGCACTGACTGCACAATACATGGTGCATCTTAATTTGCTTTACTTAACATGTTTGCATAGAGATTACACTACAAAGCAGCCTTGAAATGATAAGACATTGTATATGCAGAAGAACAAGAAATACATTAAGTAAATAAAGTTGGAGAACACAAATTTACCATAAATGAAGCACATATTTGCCCCTGAAAAACTTTTTTTTTTACCATAAAACAATGAGCTAGTGTTTTTCAGGCTCTGAAAATTAAAGATAGCCACAAGAGATAAACTGGGGCTCATGGCAGGGTAGTAGTGAGGCTGAAGGAGCTGTCATTAAGATATGTACAAATGTTACCTAGGCTGGGCACCGTGACTCATACTGGTAATCCCAACACTTTTGGAGGCTGAGGCAGGAGGATCACTTGAGTCCAGGAGTTCAGGGCTAGCCTACGCAACATAGTGAGACCCTGTCTTTACAAATAAATATATAAAAATAGCTGGGCACGGTGGCATGTGCCTATAGTCCCAACTACTCAGGAGGCTGAGATGGGGGGATCCCTTGAGCCGAGTTTGAGGATACAATGAGCTATGACACTGCGCTCCAGCCTGGGTGACAGAGCAAGACAGTCTCAAAACAAATATATATACACATACACACACACATACACACACATACACACACGTATGCGCATATATATGTATATATATGTATCTTGTCATATACCAGGTAATATATTAAAGGCAATACCAATTGTTCAGTTCTGAGTATTTCATAATAGGATTTTCAATGATAGGAAAGATTAACTTGAGCCTTTCAGACGCTAATTATCTATCTGACTAAAACATTCAGGTGACTTTCGAAGAAGCTGTTTGAATGCCAGTGAAACGAAGTTTGATTAATTTAGATAAGAGGATATGCCAAACATTTCAATTGCACTTCAATTTTCCCTACTTTTTTTTTTTTAAAGAGCATTTTCACTGTGTTGTGGGGAGCAGAGGGTATTCCAAGCCCCATCTAAAGAGGCATGTGGTGTCTGACATCTAGGCCTTGCCCAGTAGGCAATCCAGTGTGACAAGGAAAGACAGAACTAGCTCTTTGTATTCCAGCAGGTTGAATGCAGCCTGATCTCTGAGTGCATGACCAGAGCTAGAAAGGAGTAGCCAACCTGGGTCCTAAAACTTCAGACTGAGGAAGCAACCCCTGGCCCTGAGAAGTGGTATCTTTCATCAGGTATGACACTTATGGAAGAATCAGCCTCACAAACCATGCTGACCTGTGCCAGGAGCCAGGCATGGAAATAAATAAAGACCAAGCAAATGAGAACAGATAAAGGCTATTTATTCAGAGCTATAGGGAGGGAGTTAGCCACCATCATTTGTCTGTAAACAGAAATTCAAAGGAGTGGAAAAGCATTGTAGTGGGGAAAAAAGAGAAGGCTTCAGGTGTGCCCTGACTGGAGGCTATTGGCATGGGAAAGCTTTAGGCGGGCTGACTAGAAGCAAAGCACCCTCTGTAATTGGTTAGGGGTGTATATTAAGTTTTCTTGGGTTGGTCTGAAGTTGAATGCAGAGACAAAAATAAGAAAAGATGTTACTAATCAAGTCCTGGGCATCTGTAGCTGATTGTTGCAGGGGCTATTGTTTAGGTTTCTAGGCTGGTTGCTGGACATACTGGTCTGACTTCCTGAAAGTCTGACTTATAGATAGGCTGGTGTTCTGGGCTGGTAACTGTAAATAATTGAGTTCTAGGCTGGTTGCTGCAGATTGTAGGTCAGAGCTCGATTTCTTATATGTTCTGACCATTCTCAGTTTGTATATGTCAGTCTCTCATAGGGCCACAGAGACCTTACTCCAGTGAGGACCAGCAAAGTCTCAGGCAGAGGAAGGCTATGCTTGATAGCAACACCATCTGGTGAGAAAAGCTGGTATTTGTAGCAGCCGAGTTCCTTCAGGAGGACCATATATAGCACTGCAGTCACTTCAGGAGTAGACATTTGCTGTAGAACTTATCCAGATAAGTACTGAGTATTTATTTCAAAAGTACTGAAGAAACCTAGAAATGGATTTCAATTAATTTCGGATCTGAGCTGAATTAGGAGCAGGTGAGGAAGAGAATAGGTTTCAACAAAACAGTGAAAAGTTTTGATAGAACTCAACTCCTGTGAAATACCATCTTTGCCATCAATTTTACTTTACTTATCATCTATGATATGCATCTGAGTATAATTAAGCAAAAGCTTCTCATCATTTAAAAAGTAGCTAACAGGACTAGGTTAAATGGTGAACTACCAATGGTGGCCACCCATGCAGTGTTCTTAGACATATCTTATAGTTCTTAAGGCAACATGGAATTATACATGTGCTTCATTATGAGAAAAATAATTACAAAAAACCCAGTTCAGCAAACAAAAATGGCATCAATGTTACAACAATAATGAAAAGTACCAACAAGCAGCATATACATATATATACACACACACACATACATACATATATATATTATATATATATATGTATATAAAAATACAGATGGGATTGAGGATTTCCTTAAGGAAGACTCTATTCCTCCTTAACATTGCATTTTAGTTGAAGACAACATCAATGAAAAGTATTTTATTAACATATTTTTCTAACAATTATTTGAAGGTTCCCAACAATTGGTCTGCGTTGACCTCACATGTGCCAATATTGCATTCATTGTTTGCCTATTCTGAGCAAGGTACTGTGTTTTTTATTTTTCCTTAAATATTAGAATCTTGTCTATCACAACCATTGCATTATCTCAAAGTTCTTTCTAATAAATTTTAGAACAACCCCACACAATAGGTATTATTATTCTCATTTTACTAGTACAAAAACTGAGGCTTCAATAGGCTCTGAGACTAAATCAAAGTGAACCAGCCAATAAGTGTGAAAGTCACTTTTCTTCCCATCTAAAATAGTCTTTGTTTCACACAGAATTTTGCTTTTGAGACTTAGCCACATAAATACATATGGATCTGGTTCATTCCACTAAAGGGTTACACTTTATTTCCTTTTTTCTTGGCTACTTAAGCTGCTTCTAATTTTGCTCTTAAAAACAGCACTGCAGTGAACATCTGTATATATATTGACATGTACACTAAAATAAAAATATTTGTTTAGGCTCTGAATATATATCTAGAAGTAAAATTTCTGGATTATTGAAAATATCAACTTTACTAGAGATTGCAAAATTACTCTGCAAAGTGGTTGTACCGATTTATACTTCTCAGTTGTTCCTTTGGGTTTCTTCACTCTATATTCCTCCAAAATAAGTCAAACTGATACATATGAAATGGCATTTTATTGTGATTTTTTAAATGTACATTCTTTCATGTATTTAATGATCATACAGGTTTCCTTTTCTGTGAGCCACCTGTTATATACTGTTATGGTCTGAATTGTGTGCCCTCAAAATTTTTATGGTGAAATTCTAAACCCCAGTAGCTTAGGACATAACTCTATTTAAAGAGATAGGGTCTGTAAAGAGGTAGTTAAGATTGAATGAGGTAATAAGAATAGGACCTAATCCAGTATGGCTGGCATCCTTATAAGAAGAGAAAGGGACACCAAGGGATGCATGCACATAGAGAAAAGAGTATGTGGGGAACACAGCTAAAAGGTGGAGAGCCACTTTCAAACAGTGTTGCCTTCCTCTTCAAAACTCAGTGCTGCTGGGCGCGGTGGCTCATGCCTGTAATCCCAGCACTTTGGGAGGCCAAGGCAGGTGATCACTTGAGGTCAGGAGTCAAGACCAGCCTGGCCAACATGGTGAAACCCTGTCTCTACTAAAAAGACAAAAATTAGCTGGGCATGTTGGCACATGCCTGTAATCCCAGCTACTCGGGGGGCTGAGGCAAGAAAATGGCTTGAACCCGGGAGGTGGAGGTTGCAGTGAGCAAAGATCATGCCATTGCACTCCAGCCTGGGCAACAGAGCAAGATTCCATCTCAAAAAAAAAAAAAAAAAAGTTAGATACTGTTAAATGTTGGAAAGAATATAGATCAAGGGAATCTCATCCACTGCTGGTAGGAGGGTTACCTGGTAGAGTCTCATTTGCAAATAAAGCTGGAGGCATCGTGCTACCTGACTTCAAACTATACTACAAGGCTACAGTAACCAAAACAGGATGGTTCCAGTACCAAAACAGATATATAGACCAATGGAACAGAACAGAGGCTTCAGAAATAACACCACACACCTATAACCATCTGATCTTTGACAAACCTGACAAAAACAAACAATGGGGAAAGGATTTCCTATTTAATAAATAGTGTTGGGAAAACCGGCTAGCCATATGCAGAAAACTGAAACTGGATGCCTTCCTTACAGCTTTTACAAAAATTAACTCAAGATAGATTAAAGACTTAAATGTAAGACCTAAAATCATAAAAACCCTAAAAGAAAACCTAGGCGGTACTATTGAGGACAAAAGCATGGGCAAAGACTTCATTACTAAAACACCAAAAGCAATGACAACAAAAGTCAAAGTTGACAAATGGGATCTAATTAACTACCATCAGAGTAAACAGGCAACCTACAGAATGGGAGAAATTTTTTGCAATCTATCTATCTGACAAAGGGCTAATAGCCAGAATCTACAAAGAACTTAAACAAATTTACAAGAAAAAACAAACAACCCCATCAAAAATTGGGCAAAGGATATGAACAGACACTTCTCAAAAGAAGACATGTAGCCAACATATGAAAAAAAGCTCATCATCACTGGTCATTAGAGAAATGCAAATCAAAACCACAATGAGATACCATCTCACACCAGTTAGAATGGTGATCATTAAAAAGTCAGGAAACAACAGGTGCTGGAGAGGATGTGGAGAAATAGGAACACTTTTACACTGTTGATGGGAGTGTAAATTAGTTCAACCATTGTGGAAGACAGTGTGGCGATTCCTCAAGGATCTAGAACCACAATTTCATTCCAGCAATCCCATTACTGGGTATATATCCAAAGGATTATATATCATTACACTGTAAAGACACATGCACACCTGTTTACTGCAGCACAGTTCACAATAGCAAAGACTTGGAACCAACTTAAATCCACATCAATGATAGACTGGATAAAGAAAATGTGGCACATATACACCATGGAATAATATGCAGCCATAAAAAAAGAATGACTTCATGTCCTTTGCAGGAACGCGGATGAAGCTGGAAACTGTCATTCTCAGCAAACTAACACAAAAACAGAAAACCAAACACCACATGTTCTCACTCCTAACTGGGAGTTGAACAATGAGAACACATGGACACAGGGAGGCGAACATCACACACCGGGGCCTATCGGCGGATGGGGGGCTAGAGAAGGGATAGCATTAGGAGAAATACCTAATGTATACCATGGGTTGATGGGTGCGTGTATACCTATATAACAAACCTGCACATTCTGCACATGTACCCCAGAACTTAAAGTATTAAAAAAAAAACAACACATACTCAGTGCTCTTCCTACTCCTTGTTTCCATGAGGCAAGCTTCCTAAGTGGAAGAAATATTTAAATGAGACTATTATCAGATACACCAGAGCAAACATAAAAATGTGTGCTGTGCTTCAAAGTATTAGGCTGGGGCAAAAGCAACTGCAGTTTTTGCCATTAAAAGTAATGGCAAAACTGCAGTTGCTTTTGCACCAGCCTAATATTTACATCAGGGAGCTAACTACCTATTTGAACTTTGAACTCCGCTTTTGGAAACTGCCTTAGAACTTGTTTACATGCTTCAAAAGATAGTGAGCCTCAAGCTTATAATCACCCTTTCACTAAAATATAATCATCCCCTAGAACAGGGGTAAGCAGCTGTCTCCTTAGGGTGACTTTGAAAGGGATGAAAAATGCTTCAGTGTTCCTCCAGATAACTCATTCACCCACTGGGTGAAGCCTGAAATTCTGACCCCTCCCCATAAGAACTTAATCCCTTTAAAATTTGATCCTTTATTAAAATGGAAAACCCTACAAGAAGACTAACAAAGGATCTAAAAGCAAAATATCAAGCTGGATTGCTCTCGGTGTAATTTATACTAATTTCCTCTCTTACCATATTTGTAGAATGCTGACATATTCACATTTTTCTCACTTTGGCTCCTTACTTTGAAAACCATAGCCACACTGGACTGTTATTATATATGTCTTGGTACCTAATGTCTTACTTGTTCAAGGTAATTTGTATTTTAACAGTAGTCCTCTGTAAGTATATTTTATTGGTAAAATATTCAAGCCAATGGTAGAAAATATTTTTGCAGATGTATCTTCCCGCCCTGATCATCACTCTTTCTCAATGTCTTGAATTTCACTTCTTTGGGTTAGCATACGGTTTTGGAGATGCACATGGAAGTTGGTCAAAAATTCCAACTACAGGAAACTTCAATATATACCAATTTTTTTCTCTAGGAAATTACTGTGACTTTTTATTTAATGTGAGTAGAGCTCATTCAAAGAAATAATGATTTATACAATTTATCTGCTATTCCTTTTAGCAATCATGCAGAATTATTCATTTTGCTCCTAGAACTGGAATATCAAAAAATCTTATCTCCAAGTCACAGAATATGATATTTTAGAATTTACAATGTGGATGTTTTTATCCCCTTACATGACCAAACAGAAAGTTGTAAGCTGTGTTCATGGGACTGGACTTAAGATGTGAAAATGGACCATACTAACTTCCCATTTTGTTGTTTCCTCAAGTTCTGCGATTTATTTACTTAACATTTACTTAAGACTTAACAAGACATATTTAACATAAAGGCTTTCCACCAAAGAGGCACAATTTAGACCATGTATTTGCTTACTCTGTTTCTAGGTCCTGATGCAAGCAGCAATGAAAATTGAGCTATCTGTTCTCACACCCAGCCTGTAGTAATCAGTATTTGAAGCAAAAGGAAAAAAACAAATACCCTACTTAATCTTTAACCTTAACTTGTCCCTACTGAATGGATCTGGAGCTAACAATATTAAGAGTTTTTTAAAAAACTGGGAAGAATAAAACAAAAAAACCGGAAAGAGAACAGAGAAATAAGAAAATAAAATGGACATACCAGAGAGATTTGCACCTGCTTAATGGAAAAAAAATGATGTCAGACCCTCTTTGCCTTCTCTCCCTTAAGTACAGGGTTAGACAATTTGCAAAATGGTAGAGCAAATAATTTGTGTTTCTTCATATATTCTCCACTCTTGATCTCTCAATACTTTCAGTTAGCTTTTTGGTTCATCAAATCCTTTCCTCAGATTCTATTTAAATGACATTAACATTTGCTCACTGGGAATAGGACTGATATTATCAACTTACTTAACAAGGGCTATGAAATTTGAGACAGACTGTGGGAAAATGTTGGCTCAACGGGTAGTACTCTATTTCTGGTTCTCTTTTCTGGGCCAGAATGTCAGAGAGATAAGTTTCTGAATTCACACGAGTTACTTTCCCTGCCCTGGCTGCACATTGCATGGCAGATGGCCGAGTGCGGACTAATGTTCTTTAGTAACTTAAGTGTGGGATGGAACCAAAGCCAAATTATTATCTTCACTTTTTTTTCTTGATCAGAGAAGCAGCCTTGAAACTCATGACCCCATTCTTAAACAGTGAAATGTCTTTTAAAATACTGGTTCATTTTAAGTAACAAACCAGCAAGACACTATATTCTATGGATTTATCTCTAAGCTACAAAGAAAATCCTAAGAGCAAAGGCTTTTGATAAATTAGTGGTTACGTTTCAGGCAATATTTTTGTTTCGTCTAAAACTGTTTATTTTTAATTATATGCTATATAATACATGCCAAATAGTATATAAAACATATTATTTTATTTACTTTTTATATAGAATATATAGAGAGAAAGAAGTGTTATCAGTAGATTAAAGAACCCATGAGTACCTCTCCCTGATAACCACTTATTTCCCACTAGGGATGATCACTGTGATAAATTCATTAATTACTTCTTTTCATAATTTTGCTTTATATGTATATCTTTAATGTATGTGTATCATTGAACAATTACTGTTTTTGTTGAGCCCTACATAAATAAAATCATAGAATGTGTGTTTACATGGCTTGCTTCTTTCACTCAACAGATTTTAAGATTCATCCATGTTGACACTTGCAGCTTTCATTTATTTATGTATACTATATACATAACATATACTCTATGCTATACTACATACCATGCTATGAACATATAGTATAAATACATCAATATTTATTTGTACATTTTATAGTTGGTGAACACTTGAATTTTCCTGGTTCTTGACTACTCAGAATCATGCTGCTGTGAACATTTTTGTACATGTCTTAAATGCGCTTGTGCAGGAAATTTTCCAGGAGTTGTATCAAGGAGGGGAAGAGCTGGTCATATCCTATGCACAAATTCTACCCTTACTGGTAAGACTAAACTGTTTTGCAAAGAGACTCTACCAGGTAACACTCCTACCAGCAGTGGATGAGATTCTCATTCATCTATATTCTTTCCAACATTTAGCAGTAACTTTTTTTTTTTTTTGAGACAGTCTCGCTCTGTTGGCCAAGCTAGAGTGCAGTGGTGTGATCTTGGCTCACTGCAACCCCTCTGCCTCCTGGATCCGGGTTCAAGACATTCTCCTGCCTCAGCCTCCCGAGTAGCTGGGATTACAGGCATGTGCCACCATGACCAGCTAGTGTTTGTATTTTCAGTAGAGATGGGGTTTCACCATGTTAGCCAGGCTGGTCTTGAACTCCTGACCTTGTGATCCTCCCGCCTCAGCCTCCCAAAGTGCTGGGATTACAGGCGTGAGCCACTGCGCCAGGCCTAACAGTATCTAACTTTTCATATTTGCCAATCTGATGAGAGTTAAATGGCATTTCATTAGAGTTGTATATTTCATTTTAGGAATTACTAATGAAATTAAACATTTTTAATATGCTTAAGCCAGTCATATATTGTTTTCTATGAAAATCCATTTATGTCTTTTACCTATTTTACTACCGAGTAAATTTATGTTTCAATTCTTGATTAGTAGGAACTATTTATATATTTATAGTCACAATTATTTATTAGTTACATATGCTTGTAATATTTTCTCCTGGGTTTGGATCATCTTTTTATTCTGCTTGTAGGTTCAAAAGCTGTTAATTTTAATTGTTAATTCATCAACTATTGCACTTATAGTTTGAATTTTTTATTTTTTGGCTTCTTCTTTAATAAAGTCTTTCTTGACCAAAGGCTATAAAGTTATGCTTCTGTACTGTCTTCTAAAATTTTTACAGTTTTGCCTTTCACATTAAAGGTTTAATCCACTGGAATTAATTCACCCTGATTCCCTTAAATGTCAACAATTTACATTATCAGAGTACAGTTATCGAAACCAAGGAATTAATATTGATACAATACTATTAACTGAAAAAAATTAACATTTCACTAGTTTTCCCACTCAGGTCCATTTTATGTTTGAGGATCCAATCCAAAATCCTACATTTCATTTAACTGTTGAGGGTTCCTCATTGCTTCTATTCTGTGAGGGTTCCTCAGTCTTCTCTGGCCTTAATACTTTTGATGAGTACTGGTCAGTTATTTTGTAGAGTGTATCTCAGTTTTGAACTTTCTCATGTTTCTGGTGATTAAAATAAGATTATGCATTTTTGTCAAAAATGAGATGTGATGGTATTTCTCACTTCTTCATCTCAAGGGGTTCATAATCTCAACATCTTAACCATGATTACTTCCTTAAGGTGGTACCTTCCAAGTATCTCCACTGTAATGTTACTATTTTCCCCTTTGTAATTGATAAATATCTTGGCAGAGATACTTTGAGACTATGCTAATGTCCTACTCCTCTTCAAACTTTTACCCACGGATGTTAGCATCTACTGGTAGATCTTGCTTGCTACAATTACTGAACTCTTTGTCTAATGGGTCTTTATCACTATCATTTTTCTAATTTATCAGTTTCAATTCTTCCATAAGCCAAGACCATCCCTTATTCCCATTTATTTATGTCAATATAGACTTATGAATATCTATTTTAATCTATGGACTAAAATCCAATACTATTATGAGTATTCTGTTCTTCAGATTTGTCTAGTTTGGGCCATAGGGAACTTCAGTTTGATTCTGTGTCCTTTTGGCATGGCCCATCCTTTTTTACCTTTTTTTCTTAATCACTTCATTTTTTTTCTGCTACCACAAAATGGTACAGGCTCATCTTGCATATTCCCTGGCCCAGTCATGCATTCAACTAGAGAATCCCTAGTTCCTCTTACTGGAGAATAATAGTATTTGGAAACAAATATTTGAATGCTAGGCTTACTTTTCTGTGGTGCCATTGCCCCTATGCTTTCTGAACATGTACAGATAAGAAACATATGCATGTGTACTGACTCATACATATATCTCTATTTCTATATCTGTATGCATTTATGTTAAATAATTTGAGTTCATAATGATACTGTCAATCAGCACAATATTCATTGCAGCCTTCCCCTTTTCCTTATTTTTATATTTCTATTTCTGACCATGGGAAACCTGACTCTCATTATCTATCACACATTCATTTATTCCTTCAATCCTATTATACACATAAAATAGTTACTGAATTACTAATCCATACTCTTATAGATTTACCAACTAGAGTATGGTGTTTGTATACAGGATTGTTTTTGGTTTTGCTTTTGTTTTTTGGTCTTCAGCCTTGTGATACCCAGTTAAAATACACTTTTTCCAGAGTTACTCAGATCAGGCCTTATCTTCCTCATCCCCTTCAGTAAAATGTTATTTATTTGTAATGCAGTTAGGTTCATTTTTTTTTTTGCTATTTATATTCCATTTTTATATCTGTATATCCTGGTTAACTTAATTTTTTAGTACATGAAACATTACTATGGTTATATGAGACATTACTATGGTTATTAGAGTCAGAGCTATAGAAAAGTTGGATTCATTGAAGAGTACACCTCTTCCTAATCCACATTGTTCTACTCCCATTCCTCCCTTCTCTCTACCCTCTTTCCATTTACCTCTGTAAGTAACCAATCTCCTTGTTTACAGATTTATCTTATATTTTGCATGAACTAGCAGATACATACTTTCTTATATCTCCTTCTTTCTCATATGATTGTTGTCACACTTTAATACTCTTTAGTAGTTTGCTTTCACACTTAATGGTATATCCTGAAAATCACTAGTCACTTCCCAGAAATCACCATCCTTCAATTTTACAGCTATATGGTTTTCTGTTGGGTGAATATACCATAATTTATGATACTATTCCACTATGTATAGACGTTTATATTCCCAATAGTTTGCAATGACAATATCTCAATGAATAGTCTTGTGCATATGAATGTTCATATTGTTGGAGGTTTATAGTCAGGACAGATGCTTAGAAATGAAATCTCTGAGCCAAAAAGTAAGAGAATAGGTAGTTTTGCTAGGTCTTGCCATAGATCCCTTTAGAAGTGATGTACCATTTTTCATTCCCACTAGCAATGTATGAGAATGCCCATTTCTGCACAACCTCACAAAATATTATTGCTTTTTAATTTTTACCACTCTAAAAATGAGAACTGTTATCTCTGTGCTATTTTAGTTTGTATTTCTCTATGATTTAATTTGAATGGCTTTAGATGTTTAAGGACCACTTTTGTATCATTTTTAATGTAAATTGTTTGTTCATTCTTTTTCTAATTTTTCTATCAGGTTTTTGATCTTGTGTCCCTCAACTTTTAAGAGTTCTTTGTCTCTGCGATGTGTGGTGAATTTTCTTCCAGTTCATCAGTTGCCTTTTGGTGGTGCTTTTGATATGGGGCTGCTTTTCTATTCAAATTTTTTTATTTTTATATAGTCAGATTTTCAATCTTTTTTGTCTCTGGATTTTGAGTCATAGTTATAAAGATTTTCCCTATATCAAGTTTAATGAGAGCTCAAGGTTAATAAGAGTTCACTCATAGTTTATTCCAGTACTTGAATGGTTTAGTATTTTTTACACTTTAGATCCTAATCTATAATTTGCAGTTTATTCTTATGTATGGTGCAAGGTATACATTTAAATTTATTGTTTTCCAAGTGGCGATCTAGTTGTTCTAGCATATTTGTTAAAAACCTGCCTTTCTCCCAGTGATTTGAGATGCCACCCCAGTATCCTTTATGTCCACCTGTTGCCTATACAACAATGAGCTTTTTCCATTTTCTTTTTCCCTTCATCTCCCAATTTTTTGGTGCATTATTTCTATTTTGTTACAGTATATGGCATTTGTAAATTCATTTTCCATCCTCATTCCTACTTACATTTAGTCTTAGATGCACATTTATATATTTTCAAGTGTTCGCCATCAGTCCTTTTGCTGAACTTTTTCCAATCAGCACTTGGTGGGATTTAATCCTCTAGTAGATTCCTCAAGAAGAGATGATGAGTACAGAATTTCCTAATTCCTTGTATGTTGAGAATTGTTTTTCTATAGGCTTCATATTTGACAGATACCTTAGTTGGATGAAAAATCCTTGGCTTTCACTTTTTTTCACAGATTTTTTTTCAGTGTGCTTTCTTTTCTTACTTTGTCTGTGAGCTTTCAAAAGTCTAATGCAGCAGGGCACGGTGGCTAATGCTTGTAATTCCAGCACTTTGGGAGGCCCAGGCAGGCAGATCACCTGAGGTCAGGAGTTTGAGACCAGCCTGGCCAAAACAGTGAAACCCCATCTCTACTAAAAATACAAAGATTAGCTGGGCATGATGGCAGGCACCTGTAATCCCAGCCACTAGGGAGGCTGAGGCAGGAGGATGCTTGAACCTGGGACAGGGAGGTTGCAGAGAGCCGAGATCATGCCATTGCACTCCATCCTGGGTGACAAGAGTGAAACTCTGACTCAAAAAAAAAAAAAAAGTCTAATGCCAGTCTTTCACCTTTAAAAATTATTTGGCCATCTACCTGGAGGCCTTGAGAATTTAATCTTAACCTATGAAATTTAATAATTTATTGATAAATTATTTGGGACTTTATATGTGAATAATCATATAATCTAAAATAAATGATATTTTTCTAGCTTCCTTTCCTATCCTCTTCTTTCCCTCCTTTCTTTCTCTCTGTCTCTATCTTACTGAACAAGCCAGGACCACTTTCTTGATTATAGGCCAGTCAAGTCCTCCTCCCTGTGAATAATTCTTGTTGCCTCCTGACTGTATGCTATGCTCTTGGTTCTACCCTCTGAGTCATCCTTCCTTTTTCATAAAAAATAGCCCGAGGCCACAGCAGAGTAGTTTTCCAACTTGTTCCAGTTGGCATCAAGTTGGAAATCTAGTCTTCTTTTCATTTTGGGCAGGCTCTGCCCCCTTCAGTTCAAGCTAGTATAAACAGGTATTTAGCTTACCAATATAAAATGCTAAGACAGATGGCAATAAATTAAAAGTGTACTAAGCACTTGCATAAAGAGGTAATTAAGAAAATAAGCAGTTTGGGGCTCCGATGCCAGGCAGACTTGGGTCAAACTCGCAATCTGTCACTTACTAGCTCTACAAACATGGGCTCATGTAAGCTCTCTTTATTTCCATGTTATCATCCTAAAATGTGGATGAAGGACATAAATAAGTAAACATTTAAAATACTTTCAGGGACTGCTACATAGTGAAAACTAAATACAGCTTGGTTATTGCCAAATGGTTGTTATTCCTTCCCAAGTAGCATGTGCGTTCACCATGGAAAAATGAACATGAAAAGATCAGTGGCAGGAATTGAGCAAAGAAGAAAGAACCACAAGCTACTTAGCCATTTTGACCAACATTTTAAAAGGAATACATAACAAGTGATGGTAGATGCTTTCTTGCAAATTGTATCTTGATTCTTTTTACTTTCTTTTTGGTCAGGGGTAAAAGCAGCACCTCTGA